>NC_000007.14:46603878-46906908 GCF_000001405.40 Homo sapiens
GCCTAGTAGCAGGCGTGGATCCGTGCCCTTGCTCTGGGGAATGCCTTCCTTCCTCGCAGCCCGAACCTCGTCCCTTCTAGCCCGTTAGTCAGCAGCCAGCGGCTTGAGAACATTGCGTACCCAGTCCCAGGAGAGCTCTGACCGCCAGCCGGTGCTTCCTACTGTTTACATGGCTCTGTCCCTCATGGGGCTGTGTGTTCTTGAAAATAGTAACTGGGTCATATTCTCTAAAACTTTAGCACAAAAACAATGGTAGTAGACTTTCTATAAACATGCATTGAATTAATGTTTTTCATGTTTTTAATTTTTAAAAAATAACACACATGTGACTGATGGCTTTAAACATTTAAGACTTCTTTCCTAACCAATCAGCATACATTTTCCGCCAGCAGATAAGGAGCCATGGAAGGCACTTTGTTCTTACTTGTGCTGTGTTTATCAGGGAGCTGAAAGATACACTCCATGTCTGATCTTAGAAACGTCTGTTTTCTGAAATGTGTGTAGAGGCCCTTCCCTTTGCAAGGAAGCATCTCTCTTTTTTTCCTCTTTCAAAGATAACATAACTAGGCAAGCTATTATTAATTATGACAGTTAATGTTGCCCTGTTTTGACTAGTGATTTATATTTTACAGAATGTATTTATGTTAGCTGCTGCATTTTAACTTTATAGCAGTGCAGCCAGATACCTATTAACAGTATGTTTATTTTACAGATTAGAAAACTGAAACTAAGTCAAGTGGCTGCCAAAAGAAAAAGAAACGTGGTTTCCAACTGAGGTCTGTAATTCCAAAGTCAAGATTTTATTTTAATCTAACTCTATTGGAAGCAAATAGCCAGTTGTCTTCTACTTCTAGAAGAATATGCTAGAAGGTATAAACTAGTATAACTTTCTTAAAACAGCTTCTGCAACCAGGGTATTTGGATAAAGCCCTTGGGAACAAGGGGAGCCTCAAGAGGCACTCAAGTCTGTGATTCTGAAATAGGAGGGAGATTGTGGGGTAGTCACCGAAGTCAAAAAGCTGATCCCCTAAAATCAAAATGACACCCGTTCTATCAAACTTCTCAGAAGATAATAACAATTTACTCATGTTTCTATATGTCTTCCCTAGCCCCTGTTTTGTGTTATTTTCTTCACTCCTGTATCTCCATGCCTTAGATGATTAGAGACATAAGAAGTACTCAATAAGTGTTTGTTTAATTAATAAATAAAATTCAAACTATCCTATTGAATAGGTCTTCTAATATAGACCATAATACTTTTTCCTGATATATTCAGTGAGTGGTTTGCCCATTTTAGTGGACACTTTAATGGCATGTAGGTCTCAGTTCATTAACACAATTCTTTCCTTAAATGCCTGTGCAATCAGGAGCTATGGAGAGAATGAATGGAATATATCCGTGTACAGGTGGAAGAGTCTACCAGTCCTGGCTGGCCCCACTTCTCTCAGGTTTTATCTACAGCTGTCATCAGCAGGATCTTCATGGGAACCATGACGAGGTCCAGCTATCCTCGTGCCTGTGAGAACCCTGGTGCCTTTTCAACCCTACAGCTAAAAGTGTTTCAGTAGCAGAATGGGATTCAAGAGGGTGAATCAGAACTGAAGCCCCTCTGTGGATGACCTCTGGAACCACACCTACAACTGACTAACAACCAGGACATGATCCTTTATGGCACAACTCTTATCATTTTTCCAAACTCTGCCTAGTCTTGGAGCATCGCCCATCAACCTGACAGCCAACTTCATTTAAAGACATAACCCTTGGCCAGGTGTGGTGGCTCATGCCTGTAATCCCAGCACTTTGGTAGTCTGAGGCAGGTGGATTACCTGAGTTCAGGAGTTCGAGACCAGCCTGGCCAACATGATGAAACCCTGTCTCTACTAAAAATACAAAAATTAGCAGGGCATGGTGGTGCGTGCCTGTAATCCCAGCTGCTTGGGAGGCTGAAGCAGGAGAATTGCTTGAGCTTGGGAGGTGGAGGTTGCAGTGAGCCAAGATCATGCCACTGCACTCCAGCCTGGCCGACAGAGTAAGACTCTGTCTCCAAAAAAAAAAAAAAGACATAACCTTTACATCTGCTGAACATTGTGGTCTCAGTTCTGAACCACTTGTTGAAACCTACACCTCATTCTGTACTTCAATTTGTACCTACTTCTCCTGACTTCTAATCTGGGGAACATATTTCTATCTAGTCCTGGCTCTGCACAACTTCCCCAAATGCAACTGTAGCTTTTTTTTCCTACAGTGTCTTTCTATGGTTTCAGCCTTCCTGAGAAATCAACCCAGCCCATCTTACTTGGTTTTTCTGACCTCCTAAGAAATGTTCCCACCAGACACTGCCTTATCTTACAAGCGTGGCCTGAGAGATGAGGACCATGGGATGGGTCATTTTGAAAAAGACAGAAAGAAAATGGGGATATATCTCATGAAACTCTAAGATGAAGTTATTCAATGATCTTTGAAGGAAGAAAAAATAGGCAAGGAAGGATAGAGAGATTTTGAACCAGATGCTGACACCAAGAAATATTAAGGAAGAGGGCCTTCAAAGTCAGGGGATGCCTTTCCTCTCCTCCTGCTGTGGTCTGCACTCCTCTCTGTTATGGCATCCATTGATCACTCTGTGCTGTAATTATCTACTTATTGATTGGCATTCCTCATCAGGCCATGAGATTTTTAAAGTCAGAGTCCATGTCTTAACTGTTTTTGTATGTATAATAATTGTAGCAGTGCCTGGCACATAGCAAATTCTCAGAATACTGACCGAATGAAGAAAAAGAAGAGCAATAAAATAAGAGTGTGTGGTTCATCAAATACTGTAGAGCTGACTATCATGAGCATACTTCAATGGGGACCACTTTTCACATTGCTTAGTTTCTCACATCATTACTTACGTATTTCTCTCCAATGAATACCAATTATTTCCAAAGTAGGAAACATGAACTATTAGAGCTACGGAGCGTCTATACTAATTCTCTCTTTCTGTGAGTGAGTCTTTGCAGAGACAGACTGAAGCTGACAGCTGCTCTGAAGCTATTTGGAGCTCTCCTGTCTCCCAATCAATCTCAGTGGTGCTGCAACACTGCTCAAACCCTGGGAGGAAATCAAAGAGCATCCTGCTTCTTGCAACAGGGCCTTACTCTTTAAGTCTGACCCTGTGTTCATTCCATTCACATAAATCTAGCAATAAAATATCATGCACAGGATGTGGTATAGGTGGTTTGTTGGGCTCCAGAAAACTTTGATTGATTGGTTTAAAATAAATTAGTTCTGAGAATGGCTTATTTTTGTTTTCTCTGAGCCCTTGCACTCCCCATCTTTCTGCTCTCTGCTAGTATTGATGAAGTCCTCTGTGGGGCCAGATATGGTTTCTGGACATTCGTATGTTTCCTTCTCTTGCTAAAGTCTCAGCATGGCTTTTTAAAAATTTTGAAATTCTAAAGCTTTTGTCGTCATCCTGGGTCTGCTTTGTTGTAAATCCAGAAACTCAGTAATCTTGCAGCTGTGATTTACGCAGGCCAGGGCCTGCTGCCACATGGCTTCCATGCTGAGAAGTTTAAGGACATTTTTTAATTAACACACAAGTTTTTTCATTACATCACATTAGGGAATTTTTGAAAACTTGTATCTCCTCTCAGTTCTGCCCTTCCGCTGCCCAGGAAGTAAATACTTAAAAATTCATTGTTCAGTAATTATAAATGGCATGTATATTTATATATTTTTTCCATCATGTATATAGTTTTATAATATAATGTAGGTATAATTGCTTATAAACATGTAAACATATATAGTTATATATGTATATGTTTTATAATACATAATATATACACTTTTATCTATTAGAATTATATAGGTACATAATTTTTATATATACACATAGTTTATACATATACATATCGATTATATATAATACATAAGGAATATATATGTAATAAACAGACATTTACATATGCTATATATAGTCATGCACCACTGACACGTTTTGGTGGTCTCATAGGATTATACTATCACATTCTTACTGTACCTGCACTATGTTTAGATATGCAAACACTTACCATTCTGTTACAGTTGTTGACAGTATTCAGTAGAGTAACATGCTGTGCAGGTTTGTAGCCCAGGAGCAATATCCTAGGTGTGTAGTAGGCTATACATCTGGGTTTGTGGAGGCACACTCTATGATGTTGGCATGATGATGAAATCACCAACAACACATTTCTCAGAAGATATCTCCATTGTTAAGCAACAAATGACTGTATATCATGTTCTTTAAATTTGAAGAAGAGAATTTATCTTGTAAAATTGGAAGAAGAAATATTTCAAAAAGTTTTCAAGTTGGTTAAAATCTTTGTAGGTACCATAGAATGACATCATTTCAGCAATATTTTATTTGATAATTAAACTCATAGAAAAATGTATCTGTCCCTGAATTTGCACCATTTGCATCTTTCTCCTCTGTATGAAGACATGTATATATTAATAACTCAGTGAAATTGACATTACTTCTGGAAAATTGATTTAATTACGAACAATTTTCATAATCCTCAAATTAAAGCATAATATGTGTCTGTTTCTTTTTAAGTCTACCTATTTTCAATAAAATGTTGTTTGTATAAATTGAATCATAATATGTTTATTTCTTTGTTCTTAATCTTTGCCTTTTAATTTTTTATTCACTAAGTTTTGCTCAATTTTATGTAGCATTAGAGGTGTCTTCACACAAAATTGGCAACCCTGCTGAAACTGCCTTTTCATCTACATTGACCTAACCTCTCCAGTGGGCATTCCTGAACCACATCCCAACTGTATTTTGATCATTCAGTGAGGTTTCTGCAAGCCTGTGTTTCACCCTTGTTAAAAGATAAATGGACAGAACTATCTCCAAGTACTAGCAGTGGAATATTACTCAAAGGATGGGCCACTGAAATATGCATCAATTTGGACAGATTTCTAGATATTACTTTGAGTTTTACGAAAAGGCATTCTCAAAAGACTACATATTGTATCATTCAATTTACATAACTCTCTCCAAATAATGGGAACCCCTGGCCAGTCGTTGCCAGACATTAAGGTTTGGGAGTCTCCATAAGGGTAACCGGAGAAAGTCTTGCAGTGTTGTAGCAGATGTGCATCTTGATTTTGGTAGTAGTTACACAAAACTACCAATGTTTTAAAATTGCATAGAACTACACACACACACACACACACACACACACACACACACCCCACACAAGTTTTGTGTAACAGTTATATTCTAATTTGGCAGCTCTTCAAATAGGTCTTAATCTCCTGGAGGTGAGAAAACTAATCTTGCTCTCTCTATAATGGCTTAGAATTTTGTACTCAGCAAGAAAATGAAAATATGACATTCATTTGTCAATGTTGCTCAGTCTAATGAGGTTTAAATGCTGGATAAGTTAGATAAATATGCTTGTATATGTTGATAAGTAATAGAAAGGTAGAATATGGTTAATTTATTCCTTCTTTAAGCAAATAATAGTAGAATGGCTTTAAGTGTCAGGTACTGTTCTAAGGTACTGTTCATTGCTGGGAATACAGCAATGAACCACACAAGCAAGCCCTGGGCTTCTTGAATTCTGCGCTTCTATGGTCAAGGCGATAGATGAAAGGTAATATGTCCAGAAACAAAAGTATTTTAAATTTTAACTTGCATAAACTTTGAAGACAGACTTGACAGGATTATAGATGGCTTAGATCCAGGAGTTAAAGAAAAAATAGTCAAAGATGTCTTTCTGTTTCCAGCTTGAAGAATAGTGGTGATATTTTCCAAAAAGTAGGAATTTATTTAGGAAGGAGTAATAACAAGAGGTTCACTGTGGGCACTTAGACTGACCATTTAATAATTCAAAGATATATATGTAAATGATCATAGTTTGAAAGCTATAGATTATTTACATAATCTTCCTAATCATGGTAATGAAGTCCATCATTGGTACTACATTTTTTTTTTCATTTGTTCAGTCAATATTTACTGCTCTCAGCCCACTGCTGGGCCCAAAGAGGAAACATTAGAGTGCTAGCTAAATCCCGGGATGGTTTTCAAAGTGAATTCACAAATATGCATCCCATGTCTTCCTCCTGGCTGTCCTGGGATGTAGGCATTAGTATCTACACTTTCTAATTGAGAAAATGACGCCTCAAGACTTTGGTTCCTAACTTTTATGTAATTAGTAAGTACATATTGTACTTTTAGTAGACAGAGGGTCTCACCATGTTGCCCAGGCAGGTTTCGAACTCCTGACCTCAAGTGATCCACCCATCTCGGCCTCCCAAAGTGCTGGGAGTACAGGTGTGAGCCACCGCGCCCAGCATTAGTAAGTACATATTAAAACTAAGTACAAACTTCATTGCCTGTGCCTCTCCAAGAGTAATTCATGCAACAACTTGCCATGTGGTCGGGGCATCTTTCACCATCCTGAGTCTTTGGGCTTGGCCACTCAGATGTATCTCTTCGGGCTACATGGACTCACAAATCAAGGAATATGGAGTTAGTTGCAAAACCATTCTGGAGAATTCAACCTAGATGATAATATGATCAGATAATGGAAATAAAAGTTTATAAACCGTAAAGTGCCATAAAAATATAAGAGGATGATTATTCCAGGTTTCCAACAAGGGATAGAAACATTCTTTGAGAAGAGGCTTGATATTCTCACACTGTCAACATGACTTTTCCTTTTGAATGAAAAAGATTTTATTTTCTTCTTCTCATGGGATAAGTACATGACCTTTACAAAACAACTCCGAAGCATTTCAGTTGTACAATCATGAATTGTGCACAAGAAAGGTTTGGTCACACTCTCGCTGATGCTGTGAGCTGATGCCAGAGGAAGACCTATGATAAACTAACACACCCATGCCAGGCCACCCTACATAAGTTTCTGAAAGTTCAGAGACTTCCTAGGAAGTCACCAAAAAGTCCCCTTGGGAATCCATGTCCTTTCAATAAAGCTCTTTCCAAGAACAAATGTTCTCAGCTAACTGGAATCCTACCAGGACTCACTTGAGATCCGTGAGTGTTTCTGTAGTACCTCCCTGAAGTTGATACTGCTGAATGTGGTGTCAGAATTCCTTTTATCTTGGAGGAGTTCCAAAAGATCCAGCAGAAGGCACACGTTTCTTCTCTTAGACCACATCCCAGCCAGTGGGTCAATTGCACAGGTGGCAAGCATAATGATAACTAGTGATTCTGCTTTGCTGGATGCTTAGAACTTGAAGCCATTAGAAAATGCTTCTCCTACTCCTGTTGTCTCCCTGGGCTCCCTTTTAATTTTGTAATCCCTGGCACATGTGTGTTAGTCAAAATGCCTGCCAGATCATTCATGCTGAGGAAAATAAGAAAAATGGAAGGTTGGCCACCCAGGCATGAGGGTTTTCTAAGCTGCCCATATATTGGGATGGTCCCAAGTCAGAGTGAACTTAGCAGGTGGCTTCTTCAGGCTGCCAGGACCTCTGAAGGAGCCTGCTTCTTCAACTACAAAATGAAGACAATGCTATTTACTTTATGAGTTTTCTGTGAACATTAAGTAAGGCAAAGCATATATAGAAATCAGCACAGTGACTGGCACAGAGTAGGCACTATGTGAGTAATAGAGATCATTATGTGTTATTGCCATTCATGATTATAATTATTATTTTCTGGGAAACCCAAATTTTGGTTTTCCCCCTTTATCTAATTTCAAATATACCAAGCATTTTATGTGAAATAGATCTTCGCATGAGAAAAAAAAAAAACAGAAATGTAAACTAGATAGAACCAAAATTTAATCTTTAGGAAAAGTTCCTGCAAGCCAGACAAGTGAGCCTCATGCCAATTTCCTGGTTATTTATAAGCCGCATTCTTGCTTCTTTCACAAACTCCAGAGATTTCTCATTTGGAAACAGAGTTGCTGGAGGTTTCTTAATTCTACCAGAAAATACCTTGATTCTAAATAACTGGTAATACTTTTTTTTTGTAGGAAAATACAAAAACATTAAAAAAACATTAAAAAATCTAAAAATAAAATTAATACAAATCTTTTAGAAAATCAGTGCAAATGAAGTATATCTACTATATGAAACTCTTATGCATGAAATGATAAAAATCTATCTGGTTTTAATGATCTAAAGAAAATGGTGTATCTTTTTTCAACCTGAGAACATACTTGAGTCAGACAGTGAATAACAATCATTTATCTTAAAAATATATCAATGTTCTTAGTGCAATCTACATTCATAAACATCTATTTTGAATCATAACCAAGAAATATCCAGAATCACTGACTTTTTTCCTATGTCCTCATAATTAGATTTTATGTAAGTTGAAAATCAACATGGGACATTTTCGGAGCAGAGATAGCATATTCTGTATTTCTAGAGTTTTGTTTGTTTGTTTGTTGTTTTAAAACAAGTTTTTTTTTTGTAATTCAAATCCATTTATGTTTCAAAAGAAATCCAATCCATATGTTTTTTATTTATTTACACTTACTGTAATTCATCAAAGAGCTATTTAATAAGCTATTTAATGTCCAAAGAGTCTTCGTCACAAGTTTTTTTTTAAGTCTTTCATCTTGTGTACCAGGAAGCTTTGCTTTTCTTTGAAACAAGGTTCTAAGAAAAACCTTCTGGAAAAATATGACCTTCCACTCATATTCTAAAATGTTACTCGGCTGGCAAATTAGGCTAACAGAAGGGTAGGCTTAAGCAATGCTTTAGTGAATTTAACAAGTTCTAAAACAGGGGTCAATTCAGTCCCCCCAAATCTATAATTAATAGTTGGATAGTGGCATTTTGGAGGGGGTCAAAAAGGATAAGCCCCTCTGCTTTTACTCAACAATCTCTCAAAAATGTCAAGAAAACACTGTGTGTTAGACATTATCCAATATGGGCAAAAAATTACTTTGATTTATTTTCACCATGCAATATTATCAAAATCCATCATCTCCAATTGCTGGAAAAATTGTTCTGTGTGTGTGTGTGTGCGCCTATGCCTGTATCTGTGAACGTGTGTATATCTGTGTGATGTGTATCTGCATGTGTGTATATTGTGTGAATGTCTGCATGTGTATGTATTGCAGTGTTATTTGTTATAATATACTTGCTTCAGATAAGATACAGGAAGGAATTTCTGGAAAACAAACCCCAAACTCAATGTTTTTGTAAGCTCTTGTCAATAGCTCCAATAGAAGCTTAGCTGAAGCCTTGTGTTCCAAGCCTTTAGGTTAATGGCCTCCTCTGGCCAGGACTTATTTCTTCTGGTGAACACAGAAACCTGCCATGGAGGATAAATCTTCTGACTGACCCTAGACAAATCCTCGAAGTAACAATTCCAAATATTACCATCGAGAAAAAGTGTTTGTTGTATTGCACTGCATGTGTTCTAAGGAAGAGACATTTTTCAAAGGCACCATATAAAGCTCCATTGGGAATTTCTCTAAGTACAACACGAGATGATCCGGAAGGTCCTGGGGCATCTGCCAAGTGGGGCTTACATGCAGTACATGCTCTTGGTTTTACGCATTTATTTTCCTGTTTTATTAATTCAATAAACATTCATGCAGAGCCTAGTTAGTTAATCAGGTAGCTATTTATATATAAAGAAAATGACCTCATTTTTTTCTGTTGTTAAAGAGGTGTTTATGTATATAATAGGTACTTTTCTGAACAGGAAATTGTCATATCTATCAATGCAGAAAGTGCTGGGTGATTTCAGGTTTGTTATCTTGTTCTGTTTTGATAACGACCCTTTGAAGCAAGGCTGGAACCTGAGGTTCAGCCAGATTAAATAACTTTCCCCATATCATAGAGATATTTCTAAGAAAAGCTGGAAATAAAACCCAGATATTTATGATGACACAATTCACTCTGCCTTATCTCACTACTGCAAATTCCATGAGATTTCAGAGCAGGAAGAGATTGGTAGGGATTTAGAATATCATAAATTTGAGGTCTCAGCTCCAAAACCCATGTAGTCAATAAAAGGGTTACTGCAGCATATTAAAGATCTCCCTTGAGCCAAGGGCAATGGGGCCTCTTGATCCTGCTTACCTTTCATCCTGGAGACAATTATGGTGATTTGGGGTGGGATCATGGGTTTGCAGCTATGCCTGGCCATTAGTGGGTAGGTACTCATCTGAACCAGTGAAGCCTGATGAATTGGAGACCAGAATAAATGAAATAGAGTGAAATGGAACTAATGCTTGGCCAATTGTGATGGCTTCACAATTGTCTACTATGTGACTTGCAGTACTATATAAACTTGCTGAACCTCAACGTCCTCATCTATAAAATGGACAATAAATAGTACCCCACCTCACAGGGCCATTGTGTCAATTGAGTGCATGGAATCTGCTGACCACTATCAACACCTATCCCCATTGGCCATCTTTCCTTTCTCTGATCAAGTCCTGAGTCCACAGCCATTAAACTCTAACTTCTATCCACTGAATGCTGGCCCCTCTGAGCTCCGACCTAACCAGGACTGAGAATAATGGCTTCCTTCTCAGAGTATTGTACCTGAGAGTCTTTGACAGGGGCACTTGAGGGATGACCAGCTCAGAAAAGCATATGGACTTGCAAAACCAATTGAACATATATTGCAGACAAGAATTAAGAAAAACTTGGGCCTTAAGAGAAAGGAGAATACTAAAGTTGCCAAAGGCATGGTTAGATTATAAAAGCAAAGTAATAGGTTTATTTATGGAACACGGGATATGGGTCTGGGAGTTGGGGTCATGGTTTGGGATAGTGTTAGGAACATGGTTTCCTTTCATTGCTATGACCACTCTGGTGTCTCTGCCATACTCTAGGCATCATGTTAGGTGTATCTGCAGACTATCACAGATCTGCACAGGAACAAGTTGAGGGAGGAGCTGAGACTTGGACAGGTGGTTTTCTCAGAGCCACGTGGCCAAGGAAGGGCTGAGATGTGAGGTCTCGTGCACACAGCTTGGGCCCCATGTCATTTCCATTGAAATATGTGGCTCAAGGTAATTGAGCAGCTATGGAAATGGGTGTGAGTGAAGCACTGTCAGTTACTTTTCTAAAAAAACTGACATCCCAAAACATGAGTTCCCTTTCTGAAGCTGTCTTCTGGGAACCCCCTTGCCTCCTGAGGGCCATGAGGAACTCCCTTTTTGACTATTGGTCACTCTGGGCTCCATCCTCCAGCCCTCACGCACCACGACTCCATGGATCAACTGTCATCAAAGCCTCAGCCTTTAGCTTCTTGTCATGGAAAGAGAGGATGAGGAGGTGAAAACAGAAGTGCATATAATTTTCTGGGGACATTTTGAAGTGACTCATCTTTCCGAATTGGAGAATAGAAATACGGGGCAATAGCCACTGAAATATTTAAATCATGCCACATGGTAGATATGTCCTAGGAAGCTAGCAAGAGAAATAATTCAGCAGAAGCTGGAAGGTATACATTATGATAATTTTTATTGCAAAATTATTTATTATTTTTAAATGTTTGTTTTTTGAAATTGTGGTAAGAACAGTTAACATGAGACTTAGCCACTTATCACATTTATAAGTGCACAATACAGTATTGTTAGCTATAGACACAATACTGTTCAGCAGAACTGTAGGACTTATTCATCTGTGTAACTGAAACTTCATACCTATTGAACAACAACTTTTCATTTCCCACTCCCCCAAGCCCTTGACAACCCCTGTTCAACTTTCTGCTTCTATGAGTTTGACTATTTTAGATTCCTGGTAAAAGTGGACTCATGTAGTGTCTGTCTTTCTTTGTTTGGCCTATTTCACTAGCAAAATGTCCTTCAGATTCATCTCTGTTGTTACAAATGATAGGATTTCCTTCTTTTTATGGCTGAATAGTATTCCATTATGTATATATACCACATATTCTTTATGCATTCATCCATCGATGAACATTTGGTTTATTTCTATGTCTTGGATATTGTGACTAATGCTGCAGCGGACAAAGGAGTGCAGGTATTTCTTCCCAATCCCGATTTCAATTCTCTTGGATGTATACCCAGAAGCATGATTGCCAGCTCATATGGTAGCTCTATTTTTCATTCTTTAGGGACCTCCATACTTTTTTCCATAATGGCTGTACCAATTTGTATTCCCACCAAGTGTTCAGGGTTTCAACTTCTCAACATCATAAAATGAGAAGTATAATGAGAAATGTATGACACACATAGCCATAAACTGAACACACACACCTATATGTAGTTGAAAATGTGAAACTATATAAATATTTTATTTAAGAACTAAAATAAAATAAAAATATATTACATTATATATAATTATAAATGGATACACGCTTGTGACAAAGTAACATGCAAATAATATTTTTATGTTAAAATAATGGTATAATATTTTTTAAAGTTAAAAGTTTACTTTAATAAAATAGAAAAAATCAATTAATGCTTTATTTAGTAAAAACTTAATTGAAAATAAATTATATATTATAGTAAATTTCCTTAGTAAAACATGTTGTTTTCTCTTGAAGTGTTAACTTTATTTAAAGCAATGCTACAGTCTGGGTAAAGTTATACTTGAAATAGTAAATATCTTTTTTTCTGAAGATGGTTTTTTCTTTGTGGCTGTTGTGGGATTATGGATACCTAACTAGTCCTAAGATAATGAGAAAAAGATGATTTTCTTTAAAACAAAAATTAATATTATTTATATTTATATTTATATGTAATCACTTTCAATATAAGCACATACTTCAAAAAAAAAAAAAAGAAAGAATCTTTGAAATTTTAAAAATTCCGGTGTTGATAACAGTAAATTTTAGGAACAATTCCCAAGCCTAATTTTTGCACACATCACATATAGGGCAATTTTTCTGAATCTTGGACCACTGGTGACATTGTTCAGAGTCAGAGAAGGGCTTCAATTAGAAGTTCCAGGTGAGCATCCAGTGAAGTTCTTACTCAAGAGGGCAGAAACCTCGCTGGCTGAGTTTCTAGCTAAAGTTTGTTGACTCATCCTGTTCTCTGTGAGCATGGGAAAATGTATATCATCTCCAGGGGGCAAAGAGAACTCTGTGCCAGGTCAGAGGAAGCAAACTATTAGGGAAACTAATCCTTTGAAACCATTTACTAAGACACTGAGTGCTGTCATTTGGTTTACCTGGAAGGCTTGTTAAAAATCTAATCACAAGATGATTTATATTTGAGGCACTTTTTGTACTATGATCCTTCAGCCAAGATCCATCTAGCATACAGATCTTTTCACTTTATTTTTAAGGACATCTGGAAGGTATTTCCCTACTCCCCTCTCCAATCTAAAGAACAACCAAACTACTTCTAGTGCAACAGAAATGAAAGGATCACCATAATGCCAACATCATTCATCTTTTTTAAATGTATAAATGCTTTTTGAGAAAAATTCATGCATTGTAACATTTGGGGGAGGCTATAACTTGTCATCTAATTATTGACATACAGATCAATAGTTTTTTTCTACATAGTTCATCTTAACACCATAAGCAACTCACATTATCTTCAAATCTCCATCAGAGAGAAGGCTGAGGCTTGGCTGGAGCAAGAGCTGGGTGACCGCAACAGGCCCTGGAGGGAGCCGTGCTGCATGTACATTGGGGCTATGTCAGGAACGTGGCTTCAGTAAATCTCTTAATAACACAAAGCTTCAACTTTTTCACCTGTTAAGAACAAAACAAAAAGCAAGGCTGTGATACTTCATTTCTCAGATGTTCTGGAACCCTTCAAGTCTAGCACATGTCTTCCAACCCATGGCTCTGTATAGACCTTCCAGCCTACCTACAGTGGCATTTCCATGCACCTTTCATGTTTGGTTCTACAGAGACAGTTCAAAAATTCTGCTGGTGCTAATGAACTGAGCTCTGGTCATGCACCTATAAGGATCAACGGACAGCAACCTGCATGACACTGATGATTTATGCTTTATAAAATAGAAAACACTAATGAGAATGAGATTAAACACTAATTATTATTTTTATCATTATTAAACACTGCTTAGAATAATCCATGTTTTGTCTGGTGGGTTAGAACAAACAAAAAAGATAATAAAAAGAAATTTTAAAAATCAAAAAAGAATGGACTATGTATAAATGTAAACTACAACCTATAAAAGATTCAATTTTCTCTCTTTTACCGTTTGACCATAGCTTCTGCATTACGTGGATTTGCTATAATCTGAATTTGTATTTTTATATATCCCGCCTGTGGATATTCTCAGTGCAATATGGTGTTAAAAATCTAAGCAGCATTCTCTTTTGCCTGCTGGCATTTATCAAAGTGATCTCTGATGTCAGTGTCTATTTGTGGTGATTATCAATCAGAGTTCACATGAGAATGATGGTTCACATTGACTTTTTTAGAAGCAGTGAGGTGTTCTCTATCTATCTTTAGTTTATCTGATATCCTGAGATCTCATTCTTCTCTCCATTGGTGGGGAATCTATTCTCAAAAGCTAAGAAGGGCCAGATTTTACAGACGCAAACTGGAGAGGGAGGTCATCGGGAGGTAGAGAAACATTTATAACACAGTGGATTTGGGGCAGTGCTGTGCTCTCTAGGCACGGAACTCAGGACAAGGTCTGAAGAACACAGTTGCAGGGATATCTCTTTTCAACCTGTTTGTCCTGTAATTGCACTTTCCATCTGAGAACTTGCTAGAAAATTGCATGGAAAATCCAAGTCTTAATATAACACAATGGTGATAGGCATAAGCTTTTAAGTGACATGGCCCTGGGTTCAAATTCCAAACCCTGCCCCTGGTTCTACAATCATTTGAAAAATAACTATTGAAATCTTTTTTGTCATTTTTAAAGTGAGAGACAAAATAGCTCACACATCATTGTTGTAGAGATTAAATGAAATAGCATACATTAAATGTTAATCCCAATACTGAGTACATACAAATGTTCAGTAACTATCATATATCTAGTCCTATGATATATTCCATTATAAAAATTTGGCCTTTGGGATTTTAAAACGTGAGGTTAATTGCCTCTTTAAAATTCACACAGCAATGTTATTTGCTTGGATAAGCCTAAGGTAGAGCTCATGGAAAGCACAAAGTCTAAATAGATTTTCCTCATCTCTGGTCTAGAAATGAAGAAACACAAAGCTACAGGACAGGCAAACATGATATAGAAGATTTAGATGGTAGGCATCATCATGGAATCATTCTCAATAGAAATCAGAAATCAGAAGAAAGAAGTTTTTATTTCTGGTTAAGTTGTTGTTTGGGCTGTCTTACTTTAAATTTATGCAATAACCTGCTTTCATTAATGCCTATCTCACGTGCCATACAAATGGCTCAAAACAAAACAGGTTATTAAGTAAGGTTTTCTGTCATCATAAATATAAAATTATTATTTTTTGTTTTTGCCTTTCTAGAATTCTCTTCTTAGGTCACTGGCACTGTTGAGGGTTCACGGAACTTCTGCGGAAAAGCCCGTGGATATTACTGGCTACCATGTGGCATTTGCTTTTGCTGATGAGAAATCTGATGCCATTCTAAATGCCATTATTATTGTCAGCAACCCATCTTTTCTTCTACAGAATTTTGGACTTTTTCTCTTTTCTTTTCTTTTTTTTTTTTTTTGAGGTGCAAAGTTCCACCCTAGTGTGTCTAGATGTAGCTATAATTTTGTTTAATCTAGGATCCAGTGTGGGATTTGGGGGATCTTGCCTTTACTTATAGAAAATCCTCATTGAATATGTGCATCTCTGGTTCTCTTCAGGTTCTCCATCTGCATCTCCTCTTAATACATTTTCTCATTCTTCTACTGTGAAAGTAAGCATTCACTATATATTTGTAAGAATTTGTCCACCCATTCATCAGGCTGGAATAAAACACACAGAAAGTCTCAGCTTCCAAGTTAACAGGAAGCAACATTTCTCCCAAGCACACATTGCTGTTGTAGTGTCTAAGCAGCAGTCCCATTTTTCGAGTGACTGCTGCTTTCTTACTGAGCTTTCATTAAATCTTGGAAGTCTGTCTGTTTGAAACCTTATCAGTAAGAATGAAACATTTGCCTCCAGCTTGAATGATCTAAGTCACGTTGACACAGAGAAGCAGCCTCAACCTCCAGCTCAGACCCAGAGCTTCAGATAAGGGTTCTGAACATAACATTCCGCATGTATCTCTACTTTGCAGTTTGCAAAGAAACAGAGTCCTAGGTCCATGCTGCAGTCTGGACTTGATGTTGACCACTTTGCATGGAGCCCTAATTTGCTTTGAGCCTTCAAAAATACTGCATCTTTCAAATTCCACCTAAATCCCCTCCTGCCCACAAATCCTAGAACAACTCAATCTTTATTTTTTCTTTTCTTGGCTTGGTAAGAAACCCCATGTTTCATCAGATATGCAGTCTTCCTTGCTGTGTGGTAATAATAATGCCATGTATACCATGTATGGGGCAACAAATAAATCCAATTTTGTTGGACTACAAGTTTGCCTTTGATTGAATGTGCCGATTGGGCTGGGGCATCGCTAGGTGGTCAGCTTCCTTTCTCCTATTTATTCGTTCTACAGTTAGCTTCAAATTTATTTCCTAAAATTTTATTTTATTCTATCATATTATAAAATACACATACAAAAGGATATATAATATATAGTTAGAATATAATAGATTAGATATATTAATGTATCCATATACAATAATATATTGGTATATTATATATTAGAATATATAATATATTGTTTATATAAAAATATATAAGTATATATAATGTATAACTGCATATCATAGTTTAAATTCCAATAAAACAGTCATCAATGTACCACCCCCTGCTGAGCCGAACAATAAAACCAGTGTCTTCATCATTGCTTACACTCCTGTGTGCCCCTCACAATCCTATACCTTCTTTTCTTCTCCCACCTAAGAAACAGCCTCTATCAATCTACTGTCTTTCCTCTACATAAAAATGCATTTCCAAATAATTATGTTTTAGTTTGGCCTCATTTTGGCCTTCTCATAAATTTCATCATTCTTCTGTGATTATAATTTTCTCTGATGTGCTTTTTCACACAACATTTTGCTTTTAATTTTATGTTTGAGGTGTATTTCAGTAATTTTCATTGCTATAGAGTGTTCTATAATGTAAGAATACTATAATTAACGTATTCAGTGGGCAAATCATGGACATTTCAGTTGTTACTAGCATTTCACTGCTATGAACAGTTTTGAACTCATCTCCGGGGAAAACTGTGCAAGAGACTCTTTATGGGATGTTCCCATGACTGCGGTTGCTGGATTTTAGGTGATGTGGTACTTTACCAGGTACTATAATATGGTGGCCCAACATGATTAAAACAACTTATATCCCCTCCAATGGGGCTTGAGGATTGCTTCACATCTTCACAAATGTATGATAATATCAGACTTTCAGTCCTTAAGTGGGATTGTATTGTAGTCCCCTCCTTCCTAGTGAGATTGCACATCTTTTCATTTTTTATTACTCTCTCATATTTTTGCTTCTGAATATACTATTGAGGGTTTATTACTTTAATATTGATTTTTAAATAACTATTTATATATTTAGCATGCTTATCCTTATTTTTAAAAAATATCCTCCCAGTGTGTAGCTTATTTAATTTTTTATAGTTTATTTTAATGCATTTATGTTCTTAAATTCAATATAATTAAGCCAATCAGTCTTATTCTTTATTTTTTGTATCTTAGTTTAGAAATCTTTCCTTACCTTGAGGTCAGAAAGAAATTTCCCTATATTTTCTCTAAAGGTTTTAAAACTTTACCTTCCACATTTAAAAATTCAACCCCTGAAGAAATACTTTTTCTGAAGCAGTAGGAAACAAATTTTGTATCATGTTGCTCCTCGTTCCAATTCTCTAACACTAATTTTTCCCCAGTCTGAATGTCACTTTTATCATCTCTTTATTTTCATAATACCCATGGCTCTCTTTGCAGACTTTATTCTGTTTTATGGGTCCCTTTTTCTAGCCTTATTTTTTTAATATAAGGCTTAATATTAGAGAAAACAACTTCTTGCCTCTTATTACTATTTAGGAATCCATTAAAAAATCAGAATCACTTCATCCAGTTTTATAAAACATCTTAGAAATTTTATTGAATCCACACAAATCACTTTTGAAAACTTGACTTCCTTCCAACACTGAGTCTTCATAAGAAAGCATGTCCCTGCAGTTATTAGGTCTCCTTTATTCCTTTCAATACAATTTATAATTTTATACCTACAGGGCTTGATAATATTAGTAAACTATCCTCTTTATAGTTTTGTTATTATTAATACATGTAAAAATTCTTAAAATTATATTTTTTAGTACTTTCATTTAATCTTTTGAGATGAGCCCATAGATTTTCTTCTTTATTCTTTTCAAAAAAGAAATTCTACTAAAGGAATTTTCTAAGATAAACAATTTTGCAACTCCAGGATAACTACAACTTGGTCAGGACAGAATGTCTTTTTATACATTGCTAAGTTGGGTTTATTAATATCTTCTTGGAATTTTTGCATATGTTTTATATATATCTAAACTATTATTGTACATTATTAATCTTTAAAATTTCAAAACTTACACCAGTGGTTCAGTAACAAAGAGGCTTGTGACATAAGTAAAAAGATTACCAAACTTCTAGATGATATATTTTGCTTCCACAGTTTCAAATGAGATAGATTTCACTGCCTGATAGCTTGATTTTATTTGGATTTGAAATGTATGGACTTGACAGTAAACGCAACAGTCCTTTCTCAATAATGTAAACAAAACTCCAAACCATTTTAGGGCTTTATTTGTTTCACGATAGCTCTGTTTCTATGGACTACTAAGTGCTAATTCATGATACTAACTTCATTATTTTGCTTTCAAACTTGGTTCTTATGCTAATTGTCTCTTTCGAATGACATTTCCCTCCTCCCCCATATTTTAAAATCCAGTCTGACAATCTTTGTCTGCAACTAGAAAGTCTGAGTCATTTACATTTATTGAGAATACAGTTATATTTAAATTTAAATTTATGTTTACCATGCTAGGTTATAATTTTCTGGCCTGTGATTATCAACAATTCTTTTGGTTTTATTCCTTTTATACATTATTTGGAATTTTTCTACTTTCTTCTATTTCTATATAATAACTTTGAAAGTTATCTAGTTTTTTTTCTGTTTGCATATACTGGAAATTTTAACTTGCATATTTAACCCAACAAAGTCTGATTGGAGAACTTTTATTGTCTTTCCAAAACAATACAAGGGCCTAGACATTTAATGCAACTATTCCCTTCTGGACTTATAGCTTATACTTGCTTAGTGTTTTAGTTTCATGTCATTTTATAATTCTGCAAGTTAGACATTATGATAATTACTATTTTATGTTGTCAATACTTCTTTTGGCTTACCTGTAAGCTTCCAATTTTCTTTACCCATCCCTTCTTTTATCTCAGATATTTCTTTGGAGATTATTTTCTTCTGAAAAGTATATTCTTTTAAAGTTCTCCTTGAGGTGACTTAGTAATAAACTTTTCAGGGCTATTTGTCTAAAAATATATTTATTTTTTCTAATTTTTTAAAAACAGTTCCATTCACGCTATACTTTTAGTTTGTTAATTATTTATTCTCAGCACTGTGGAGATAATTTCCCAGTCTTCTAGTTTCTATTGTGGTTGAGGAAAAGTCAGCTGTTGGCCTATATTTTGTTTATATATAACCTATCTTTTCTCGATACTGGAAGTTCATCTTTGTCTTTGTTTTTGTTTTTGTTTTCCTACTTAAATGTGTCTAGTGTCTCGAGCTTTTCTAATATAAGAATTAATATCCTCCATCAATTTTGAGAAAATAAAGTTTTAGCCTGCCTCTTCAAATATTACTTCTTCTAACTATTCTATTATTTCCTTCCTAAACTCTGTTCTCTCTCTCACACACACACACCTTATTAGTCTAGTGGTCTTTCCATGTCTCTTCAAATTTTATTACTCTCTTTGTAGCTGCATTCTGATTAATTTTGCATGTTATTTATTCTAGTAATTTAGGTCTTTGAAATTCACTGTTATTTCTTTTAAATTATTAAATGCACTTTTTAAAAACTTCTGCATATGGTGTTCCAATAGCTGAAGTCTTTTAACATCTGACTCTATTTTTTTCTTTTTGCTCAGTCTAATTCATGGTTATTTGTTACCTCATCTGCTTCGAAACACTGTTCTAAATTTGTGAACTCCTTTTCATTGAAACTTTATTGATTACAGTTGCTTCAGGGTACTTTTACTTGAATTTCTCTAGAAAGTATTCTTTTTTTCTTTTCTTTTTTTTTTTTTTTTTTTTTTTGAGATGGAGTTTTTGCTCTTTTGCCCAGGCTGGAGTGCAATGGCGCCATCTCGGCTCACTCCAACGTCCGCCTCCTGGGTTCAAGCAATTCTTCAGCCTCAGCCTCCCAAGTAGCTAGTATTACAGGAGTGCATCACCACGCCCGGCTAATTTTTTTTTCATATTTTTAATAGAAACGGAGTTTCACTGTGTTGGTCAGGCTGGTCTCAAACTCTTGACCTGAGGTGATCCACCTGCCTCGGCCTCCCAAAGTGCTGGAATTACAGGTGTGAGCCACCGCGCCCAGCCTAGAAAGTATTCTTATGGGCTCTGACAGGTGTCAGGACTTGAGAAAACGAATACATTATCAAGTTGGCTTGTTTGTATGTTTTTTTGAGGATAACAGATAGTGTGACATCATGCCCCAAACATGTGAAGATAGGGTTTGCCATACAAATGCTCAGTGAACACCTGCTTATTTTTTCCCTTCCCTCAGGAGTGTCCTTTTTGTCTCACTAGTCCACTGGGCACATAGTACTGGTTTTATGACGGAGTGTTTGCCTTCACTTCCCTACCTGCACAGGGTTCAGTCACTACTGTCTTTTGTCAGGGATCACCAGGACCAAAACTCAGGGTCACCAGCGATCAGAAACACTTCTGTGGCAACAGTCAGCATCCATGCACTTGATTCTCTGTTGCATTCTATTTTCTCGTCATTTTGGGTATCTGAGAATTTCCCTTGCCCTGAAGGCTCACCTGGGCATTTGTTTTTGTATTTTAGCTTCTGATTTTAGATTTTCCATTCTGTGAAGTTTTAGGGGCAACACGGAGTTTGCAACGTTGTCAGAGAGAGAAACTTTAATTCCCTCTTCTGATATCCAACATAACAGTCATCATGTCTATTGAGATTGAAAGCATTTTTAAATTACATGATTACAGTCTTTCTTTTCAGTATATTTTCAACCTGAAATTAAACACATACACACACACACAAACACACACCCCACAGGCCCATGGACCAACAGAACGGACACCACAGGGGAGTTTGCTAGAAACGCAAGTTCTGTTGAGTCAGAGCTCCAGGGGTAAAGCCCAGGTCTGTGCTTTCTCACACCCTCAGAACAATGCAGGCACAACCAAAGTTTGGGAAGCCCTGCTTGACTACTAGAGAAAATTCACAATGGACTCTCTTTGTACTTAGTACTTACATCACAAGGTGCTCTAGAAAGCATTTTCTCAAACTCATATGCATAGTGTGCCTTCTTTGTCTCAAGCACATAAACTCTCAGTGGTAATTGCTAAGCTTTTCACAGCATAATTTTTAATTATATTTAATTTAAATATGAATTATAAATTATCCCATGTCTCTTAGGTCTTATAGTTCTTTTTTAAAGTTCCACTATATTTTCTTTGAAACTTCCATAGGAAAATAGACAAGAAGAGAAACCCTTCTCAAAACAAACCAAAGTAATTGTTGATATTAGTGAAGTGCTTCCTATTGTTCCAGCTATTTTGCTTGATTGTTGATATGTATTTAAATAATTTATGCTGGTGCCTGAGATCCTGTAATGTCATTGTGTTTTCTCTAAGTCTGCAAAAGTTGACTGCAAACATTGTATTTTAGAGTGGATAAAGTTATAAAACATAAAACTGCTCATGTTGAAAGGTGGTTTTAATTATAGATTTTTTTTTACTATTACCATTTTAATGTGGTAAAAGTCATTAAATCATTTAGGATATTTGAATTGAGACAGAACCCCCCAAAACACACACACATACACACACACACACACACGCACACACACGTTCCAACTACAAGCCAAATCAGGAGAGAAATAAAACACAATTATACTCTTCCTAGTCATTCTTTGCTCATATGCTAGATGATACAGAAAACAGAAGCACTCAAATTGAGGGAGTCTATGTTTTCAACGTTTTTGGAATTATAAATGTATTGTATTTCTGTAGGATACTTATTAACGAGGCTTAGAAAAATGTCGTTAAAATGTGACCGCCAGAACCACTCTTCTACCCGTTGGCCGAACTGTCTGTAAGTCACCACAGCTGGAACATCTGCTCTGCAAGCAGGCAGCCCCTTTCCACTCATGCCTAGGCCCACCCCAAGGGAGCAGAAAATCATCTCGCCCAGCAACCCGCTGATTCAGGTAACCACATTCACTCTAGCCATAATAGTTGTTCATAATCCTTAACCTATATTATGGAAAACTCTTGAATTTCAACCCAAGGAGAGAGAGGATGGGGTAGTAGAAAAAGCGTTGGCCCTGGGAAGAGATGATTGGGTTTGTAATGAGAGCAGCTGTCACACTAGGCAACTGTATGATTCAGAGAGTTTCACATTTTCTCTTGGGGTTTGTTTTCTTCCTTTGTAAAATAAAGGGTTTAAACTATGTTACCAATGTGGAACCTTCTGGCTCTATGATCTTATGATGTAAAACTGAACAGATTAAAAACAAAACAAAACTAAACTAAAAACGTTCATATATAGCCCATGGACATGGGTATAAGAGATGAAGCCTTCTCTTCTGTCACGTATTTGGAGGCACATGAGAGCAACACCTGGACCCAAATGAGAGGGGACTCCAAACTGCATCACGTAACATGACAGTCAAGACAATTTCCTCCCATACTGGCAAAATATCATTTACTCATAATACCCAACAGGTGCATGATGAGAAATCTTTGGGCAGCTGGGTCAACATAATCCTAACAGGGTTTTTTAACACTGAGTGATAGCTTCCAGCACTTTGCCATCAGCCAGCACTGGGCTTTGCATTTTCTCTTTCATGAGCAACAAATGTTAATGATGTGTTGATGGCTCCAATGCTTTGTTGTTTCTGGGAGATCCGGTTTACGGCCACCATCTTTCTCAGGGATTCTAAAGGTGTTTTTAATACACAACACATTCCCCAAATGTGGATGAAAAAAGGAGGGAGTGATGAGGGAAATGGTGACTCAGTCTGGTCACAGAATGTCAGAACCGCTACAGACCGTGGGAATCTTTCTTCTGAGGCATTGCTTTGTGCTTAAGAAAATGAAATGTCCAGAGAAGTGATGAGCCCAAAGTCTTTCATGGTACACAAAGTAGAACACAAAACAGAAACTCAAAAATATAAGACAATGTTCTTTCCTCAGTCCATGGAACTGCATTGCTCCATGGACTGAACTGGAGGCCCCCCACACCAAAGTAATACTTTCAATACTTTATGAAAAGTACTGTGCCAAAAGAGTAGAAAGGACAAAGTGATGATTCTGTTTTGCGCATGGTAGTCAGTGATTTGCTAGGCAGAGAAGAAAAAAGAAGAGATGAGGAGACAGGAGAGAAAAGAAGTAATAAGAAAAGAGAGGAGATCTAACCCCAGTGAATGGGAAACTAAAAAATCGTGGAGTCATGCAAGAAAGAGTGTGTTTATGAAAGAGCTGGTTGTTTAGTGAGATTGAAAAGTAAACTGTATAGAATGTAATGGATCAGTTTGCAAAACCATCTGAGATTAAGTTATGAGCAGCCTTAAATAGAAAGGAAAGGAGCTTAAACTTGCTCATATTGATGACAAGAATTTATGGCAGTGCTTTAAGCAAGAGCATGCATTCTTAGAAACACCCCTCTCCAACAACAGCAGAGAAGTGAGCTGGAAAGAGTCGAGGTGAGGAGGCAGATTAGGAGGTTGCTGCAGAGACTGCACACAATAAAGATAGGTGCAGAAAGTGTGTGACCTCAGGGCTGGTATATGCAGCCCATGTTCACTGGCGTGGAGCTGCCTCAAGCCTCTATGTTTGCTTCTTTCCCGTCTCTCAGCAGCAGACTCATACTAATGTAAAAATGAATGTTCGCTTGGTTTGTGCAGAAAATGATTCCGTATTCAGATATCCAAGAAATTTGAAGCAGCAGAGAAAATATGCTTTTACAGCATCACTGATCTATGGGTTGCAATTCAACTGTAAGCAAAGTATGCAGCTGTTTCAAAAGTGAGAAACATCTTAAATTGTCTCCATCCTTTGGACAAAACAAGGGAAAAGAGTCTTGGAATTAAAGAAAACTGAGTTAGAATAAAAGCTGGGCCAGTTACTGGCTATAACATTTTGGGCAAGTTTCTCTATGTGTAAGATGAGATTATAAAACCATCCCCATCTGAAGTGGCAAGGATGAAATTTGAAAAACCATACTCTATGTACAGGGCTTACCCCAGATCTAGGTACTGAGCAGGCTCCCATAAACATGTGTGTCCTTCCTCTTCCACTCTTCAATGCCCTCCAGACTGTGGGGGGCTGAGACACTCTCAGTGTCTCTGTACATTCCCTTAGTTGTGTTCCTACTAGCCCTCTTAATTCAAGAGCCATCTCTGCATTTTCAAGTCTGCATCTTAACTCACCTCTTCTGAGAAGTCAGCCCAGACTACACCATCTAACTTGGGGTATTCTCCTGTTGTTCTCCATGGCAACAACCTGTTTTCTTCCCTTGATATCACTTATGATAATGCACGCTTTGACAGTGATCTGTTTCATTTCTCAGTTGTGTGCATCTACCAGGAAGACAGTAGTCATTCTGGGTTCCCCAGAGAAGCAAAACCAGTAGGAGATACATACATGTATATACACACACATATACATAAATATATATGACAAAAGAGAAAGGAGAGCTGGGTGCGGTGGCTCACGCCTGTAATCCCAGCACTTTGGGAGGTCGAGGCAGGCAGATCATGAGGTCAGAAGATCGAGACCATCCTGGCTAACATGGTGAAACCCTATCTCTACTGAAACTAAAAAAAAATTAGCCGGGCGTGGTGGTGCGCGCCTGTAGTCCCAGCTACTTAGGAGGCTAAGGTAGGAGAATCGCTTGAACCTGAGAGGCGGAGGTTGCAGTGAGCTGAGATCGCACCACTGCACTCAAGCCTGGCGACAGGGCAAGACTCCGTCTCAAGAAAAAAAAAAAAGAGAGAGAGAGAGAGAAAAAGGAGAGAGATTTAATTCATGGAACTGGCTCATATGATTATGGGGGCTGACAAGTCTGAAATCTCCAGGGCAGGCCAGGAAGCTGGAGACCCAGACCCAAGGAGGGTTTCTATGTTATAGTCTTGACAGACTTTTTTTGGGTAGGGGGACTTCACTTTTTGCTTTTAAGGCCTTTAACTGATTACATGAGACTCACCCCTAGAATCAGGGATAATGTCCTTCACTTAAAGTCCACTGAGTGTAAATGTTAACCACATCTACAAAACGCCATCATAGCAATATCTAGACTAGTGTTTTAGCAAACAAGTGGGCACCACGGCCTGGCCAAGTTGACACTCCCCCATGGATCATATTCCTCTGCACCATGCTGGGCACAGAATAGATCCTCAGTAAGTAAGTGTTAGATAAACAAGCTGAACTTCAGATTATAATGATGCAATGCACATTTGCCATTCTTTTTCAGATGCCAGTATCTTAACCACTTGCTTGTTTGAGAATCCTCTCCTTAGGGAGCAGAGCTCTGTTCCCACTGAAAAGCTGGGATTGGAAAAATCAACCCCAGGCTCTGAAGGGATTCTGGGGCTGGATTGCAGAATGGGCAGCCTGTGCCATGACCACCAGCAGCAAAGAAGGTGGTGCTGATGACAACACACCACACGGTGGCTGTGTCCTGGTGCCCCCAGATCTGGTGTTATGCCCTCGGGAGGCAGGTTTGTGGCGGGCTTTGGGGGCTTTGGCAGAGAACATGACTGAAAGCTGCTCATCTGACCCAGTATGACCTCCGGAGCCTCTTGTTCCCCTTCAGGCAGCCTTTTTCCATTTCTCCAGCCTATATTTGGGTTCTGTCTCTCAGGCTTGCATGACAACACAGGTGGCCTTCGTTTCCTGATATTTTCCAGAGAGTGTATATTACTGTATAATTTCCATTCTGCACAGCACAGAACAGCCAGTCACTTTGGAATCTGAAGATCTGGATTTGAGCTTGGGTCACTGTTCACATTCTGTTCATGTTTGGAGAATTGTGCATCCTCCCAGGCCTGAGTAGAAATGGTTGGCCCTGGAGGCCTACGTGGCCTCCTGTTCATCTTCCCAGCCAGGGCCTCACTGTGTGGCTCATGTTACTCAGACGTGCTTGGAGGCTGGAATCCAACCACAAGTGCACAGTGGAGATCCATCTGCAGCTCTGAGGTTAAAAGCAGGGACTTTGGCATTTGGCCATCCAGGGGTATGAGGGTGGACTCCAGTCCTTTCCCTCCACCCTGGAAACAGTGAAAACAGAGACATGCTGAGCCCCTATGAGCCTCCTGGGAGGGAACATACCTCCCTTCAACTGGTCCTCAGAGACCTGCCAGCCCTGGCACTTCAGCACCACTCCCCTAGTCCCCCTCCTGGAGTTTCTGAGTGTCTGTGAGACTTCTGCTTCCTACCTTTGCTTTGCTGTAATCAAAAGAACCATCTGCTGCCCCAACAGCTGACAGAAATAAATTAATTAAATTAAATGTAAAAACTGCTACTTAGGCTAGAGTACAAGACCTAATCACTATGAGTGGAGACTAACCTCTGACCTCTCACATCTCCTTCACCCTCACATTAAAAATGCATTATTTCATTTGAGTCAAGTCTTTAAAAAAAAAATGTATGGCCATGGAAATGCTGGAAGTCTCTAATGTCCTGAAAACTATAAACATAAATTCTCACATATCACATGCAAGCAATAAGCTAACACACTTTTAAATTTAAAAAATTTGGGAAAAGAATTTAGAACAAAATAGAGTAAAATACAAATTAAAGAGCATTAGGTAGTTTACCATAAAGGTAAAGGCTTTTATCATTAATATGCACTCTAGAATTATCAATATTGTTTAACTTAACAATTGAATTTAAGAAGGCATCAAAGTGAATCTATCAAAAGAGATTTTTTAAAAAGGATAGATAATACTGTCATTATTTGTAGATTATAAGATTACATGATTGTACACCTAAAATACTTATATAATACTACTGGATTTGTTCTAAAAGAGTAGAATATAGTGATCAGACTTTAAAAAAAAAGAACAGAAAACAAAAGCTTTGGTATATACCAGCAATAATTATGAAGACATTAAATGAAAATAAACAGCATTTCTAATAAGGACACAATACCAGCTCAGTGGGATTGTTTGGGACATGGGTTATCAAAAAATCACTAAGATCATTTAAGTATTTATGGTGAGAATATAGTATACAGTTAAAAAATGTATTATAATAATACTGTACCAGATATTAAATCACTCTTTTAATATGTAACTATGACAATTCTAGATAAGAATGGACAGAGATATTTATACTATCGAAGTCAAGCAATGGGTCCTGATATAAATGAACTTCATGTAGGATGGTAAAAATTCACCAGTTGGCGAGAAAAGAAAGTATTTAGTAATGGTTTGGAGAGATTTGGTTAACTAATAGTAAATAAATTTAAAATTTCTGACAATAAGCTAACAAAAAAGGTGAAAATAATAAATAAAATTGAAGTTCTAGAAGAAAATAGAGATGCATATAGATCTACTCTTTGATTAGAGAAAATTTTTCAAATTTCAAATTAGTGGAAGCCGAGTGCAGTGGCTCACACCTGTAATCCCAGCACTTTGGGAGGGCAAGGCAGGCGCATCACCTGAGGTCAGGAGTTCAAGATCAGCCTGGTCAACATTATGAAACCCCATCTCTATTAAAAATACAAAAATTAGATGGGTGTGGTGGCAGGTGCCTGTAATCCCAGCTACTCGGGAGGCTGAGGCCAGAGAATCACTTGAACCCTGGAGGCAGAGTTTGCAATGAGCCAAGATCGCACTATTACACTCCAGCCTGGGCAACAAGAGTGAAACTTCGTCCCAAAAAGAAAAAAAAAACAGTGGAGAAATATCAAAATACTCAAAAGTCTATGCACACGGCATACAGTGATAAAAAGTCCAACAAATATTATAGATTAAGCACATTAATATTCTTAATACATGAAGAGATCAAAATAGATAAGATCACAAATACTGCCTCCCGATATGGTTTGACTGTGTCCCCACCCAAATCTCATCTTGAATTGTAGCTTCCATAATTCCCACATGTTGTGGGAGGGACCTGGTGGGAAATAATTGAATCATGGGGACGGTTTCCCCCGTACTGTTCTCATGGTAGTGAATAAGTCACACAAGGTCTGATGGTTTTATAAGGGGAAACCTCTTTCACTTGCCATTCATTCTCTCTTTTCCTGCTGCCATGTAACACGTGCCTTTCCCCTTCCACCATGATTGTGAGGCTGCCCCAGCCACATGGAACTGTGAGTCCATTAAGCCTCTTTTTCTTTATAAATTATCCCCTCTTGAGTATGTCTTTATCAGCAGCATGAAAACAGACTAATACACCTCCTCAGAGTAAAGTCACAGAAGAATAAATATAAATGGCTACTTGACATGTAAATAAGTTGAAACTCACTAGAACTTAAAAATGAAGTTCACTGGAAATTAAACACTAATTTTGCTGGAAGTTACACATTAAAAATTGAATTAAGTAGAAATTAAAAAATGTAAAATAAGAATGCAATTGTTTTCTTAGTACACTAGGAAAGAGTAGTTAATCTCATGTCAATCATGAACAGGGTGTTATAATCTCTGAGGAACAGACTGGCAGCAGGAGTCAAGCTTCTTAAAAGTTATGTTCTTTAGAATCTGTGTGTCTGCTTCTAGGTGTCTCATCTAATTACATAGGAAATCTTCACAAGCATAGAGAAATATATCAAATAATTATTTTTAATAATTAAACATTTTAAAATTTCCTAGATCCAACAATAGATATTCCACTTTTGGGGAGGAAGAGGACATAAGCCTTTTTTTGAAAAGTAACAAACTGACTCATTTACATATTATTTTACCAGACATTGGGCAAGGTGACTCTGTTTTGAAGATCTCTGGATTGGCTGTGACCAAAACCACATCTTTGACCTTGCTACATTCAATAGAATAGAATTAATAATGGCCACCATTTGTTGAGACCTGAATCTACACAGCAGACACTTTGCAGACATCCTCTAATATGATCTTAAAGGGATGATTCTTTCTCCCTTGTCCTTCTGTAACCTGCAAACATCACCTAGACTCTCTTCTCTTTTTTTTTTTAGCACTTTCATTCCTTCCCTTTCTGTGCTTTCTTTCTCTTGGACTCTTCCTTCCACTTCCTTAATGGAAATGTCTGTAAACCACTCACATAAAATGAGTTGAAACTCCCAATAACAGCGTGTGCTGCTGAGGGGAGGAGAGAGGGAAGAAGAATGAGTCAGCAAAACAGAAGTTTGACAACATAAAAAGTGATGTGCACCAAAAACCAGGTGCTCCTATGTTCAGAGGGGGACCAATTATCTGATTTGGAGCAGAATCAAGAAGGAATTGTAGTGGAGCCTCTAGGATCATAGGCAGGATTGGGAAAAGCGATACTTTTGACAGAACAAAATGAGCAGAGGGTTGGTTGGAAACACATACAAAGCTCAGGTGTCTATTCTTTGTCATAAGCACCTACAAAAGTCAGGCACAACCTTGTTTAGTTGTGATTTTAAAAAATCCCCTCCCTTAACTGATTCAGAGTTATGAATTAATAATAATGTGATGCCTTCACTCTCCACAAAAACAAAAATAAGAAAAATCCCTGCCTCGACTCATGCCCATTGGTCTTCATGGACAGCTACCAAAGTTGCAAATGGAGATTCAAAACAGGAGGGAAGACTGAGCCAAGAATGAGCTGTCCTTGAGGGTGTTCCAATTCAAATGTATTTATCCTTGATAATTGCAGTAATTTTCACATCATCACTTTACTTGACGTGTCTATTGTTTTGTGCTTTCTAAAACCCAGATAGCACCTTTGAAGATAACCTTCCTCCACTGCTCATTGCCTCTCCAACCACTGAGCTCAGGAGTAAACTATGCATGCATTAGGTATTAAACATGGTCAAACAGGCTGTGTAATTCATTGACCTAAGAAAAATCACAGACGCATCAGCTCCTCCCGGGAAGTTTGTGATGAAATATTTTATCAGCCTCTCAAAGCATCAAAAAGCAAGACCAAAGAGATACTTTCCAAAACAGGAATAATCCTCACAGAAACAATTAATGCAAGAGCCAAGGGGCTGAAAGAGAGAAGCTGGGAAGCTTCTATTTCTTACCAAACGCCGTTTTTTTTTTTTGTTGTTGTTGTTTTGTTTTTTGGTTTTTTTTTTTATTTTAAATTGATTGGATATTTGCAGTCTAGTAGGCTTACCACTCATTTACGTGAAATGATGAAGCAGCAAGGATGACCTTAGCCTTCTGGGTCCAGTTCAAATGGATGGATTCATTCAGCATATCTTCAATGTCCACAGAGATTACTGGCCTTCTGCTGTGGTGGGGGAGCTTTAATTAAATAATTAGGGCAGGAGCTGAGCAGCCCAGCATCAAGAAGGCTCTCAGCACACATTGGTCCACAAGCACCAGGCATGCGTCCTCCCCACCACCAAGACAACCAAGAGGAAAATCAGTTCAGCCAAAGGAACAGTAAAGGAAGAGCCCAAGAGGTGATCGGTATGGTTGTCAGCTAAACCTGCTCCTGAAAAAGTGGAAATAAAGCCAAGAAGTGGCGGGGGTGGGGGGCGGGGTGTGTATGGGGTGAATAGCAGGAAAGGATAAATCTTCAGACAAAAAAGTGCAAACAAAAGGGAAACGGGAGCAATGGGAAAACAGGCTGAAGTGGCTGACCAAGAAATTAAAGAAGATTTACCTTCAGAAAATGAAGAAACTAAAACAGAGAAGAGTCCAGCCTTTGATAAAGCCAGAGAGAAAGAAGCCGAGTCTGATTAATATCATGTACCATGTCTTATCAGAGGTCCCTGTCTCCCTTTTTGTGCTATCCAGATGAATATTTTTATCAACTGTTTTGTAAATGCAAGTTTTTCAGTAGCTCTAGAAACATTTTTTAAAAGGAGATAATTCCACCTCATTCCACTTTTTAAGTGTAAATGCTTTTTAAAAACAGGTTAAATCATTCACTGGTTGTTTGTTTTTTGGTACAATCAAAAAAATATTGTGACATAGAGAATTGTGGGGGACTTTGGCAGTCTCGGGTTTCAGCTTAATGTTCCATAAATGGGGGGTTAGTTTTTATTCTATAGTACAAAGCATACTAACTGGCAAGATGGAGTCACAGTCCTGCATTTAATGTCGTGAACATTTAAAATTACTTCTAATCCCATGTTGTTTTTTGGTAGAATTGTTTATTAAAGAAAACCATTCCCTGATCATGATCATTCCTATCAAAATTGTGTGCACTCTGTGACATCTTCGATCATGACAGTCCTGCTTTCCTAATAACTTTGTGAGTGTGCTGTAAAAGTTGAAATTTGGAGTAGACAGTGTATATGCTATTCAACTGTGAATTGGTGGACATGTGAAACAGTCTATCGACATGTGTAGATACTGGTACATGATAGCCTCTTAAGGAATTTGCCTCCGAATTTGAAGCGGGAGCATCACTGGAATAACTTTAAAAAAATTACAATACATGGCTTTTTAGATTTTCAGTGTGTATGTTAAGAATTGCATACAAATTGAAATGTCTGTATACTGATCCTCAACACAACAAATAAAATCTCAATTATGAAAAAAATACACACACTTAATTTTTCTGAACATTTGAAATTTTTAAAAAGATCAGGTTAGGAAATAATAAAATAGAATTTAAAAAGAAAACAATCAATAACTTGGTATTCACTGGAACTGGTCTAAAACAAAATTATCCTAATCAGAGTGGGTGTGAGACAGGGAGCCGGCCCTGTGAGAGCCTGTGTCTTCCTGACCCAGCTTCCAGAATCAAGGACTTCCTAGTGAGACCACTTAAACACCAGATTTCCCATCCTGAGGCCTGGCCAACCTTTGTCCAGTCATCTCCCAGCCCAGAACTTTTAACTGTGACAGTCTCCAGAGGCAGAACGTTTGAGCACTTAAACGTGAGACTCTGCTTCCCCTAGAAGGGAAGGTATCCCCGGAGCCTAATGTTCTCTTTGGCTTGGACTAAACATTCCTCCTATTGACAGCCCCCTTCACCTTCCACCCCTCAACCCACAGATTTATAAGCAGCCCATAGCCCACTGCTGGGGCCAGTGTGCACAGACACTGACCTGGCAGGGGCTGGAAGGATGGTGGCTTTGACCCTGTCCCACATGCCCTGAAACCACTGTCTCCACTCCACCCCCTCCTATCTGCTTCCCCAAATCTCTGCACAAGTCTGCATTAGGTGCAAACTTCCTTAATTGAAAAGTCCAGTGACAAACCTTCTCTAATGTTCCTGAGTACACGAGACACAGGACTATGTGGCATATTGGCTACTCTGGAGTGCACAAGAACTGGATTCAAGCCCTGCAGTCCTGCTCAACTATTGAATCCTCCAATTCTCTGCTTCTATAGCTATAAAATAGAGAATAAAGTCATACTCAGAGACTTGCAAAGACCCAGTGAGCCCTGAACCATTCCTATCTTAAAAAGAACAAGGAGAAACAGAAGAAAGCATAAGCAGCTAAAACAGAAATAGAATTATTCAGAAATAATTTTAAAATGCTAATTTCTTTTAATTTTTTCTATAAAAAGAAAATTTCTGTTTCTAATCACAATATAATTCAATTATAGGATTTACCAAATATTAACTCGTAGAGCCCTGCAGATCATGTGATCTGAAAATGGCTATAATAATAATTGATCAGCTTGTCTTTTATTTTATGTCATTGTGACTTTTTGTGTGCAGGCAAATCTGAAGACGTCCTCAAAGGCTTACATGGCAGGACCTTTGTGAAGGAAAGAACTGAGCCAAAGGGCCTTCCTGTCCTTCCCTGAACTTTCTGTCTCCATCCACTTGACTGGGCCTACTGGGTTGATTTTTTCTGAGTCTTGAGTGAAAAGCAGTGCAAGTTAAGCTCCCAGGCAATATGAGTGCTGATGTAGTATCCTTATTATTATGAACCCAAGCATACCGAGAACGTGTGGAGTGGTTGAGGAGTGTGTCCTAAAAGACACGTCCAAGTCCTAAACCCCAGTACATATAAATGTGACTTTATTTAGAAATAGAGCCTTTGCAGATTCAAATTAAGGATCTTAGGATGAAATCATCCTGAAATCAATAAACGTTGTCCTCATAAAAGAAAGGAGAAGGAGGTTAGAGACACAGAGCTACAGAGTAGGAGTCATATGAAGATGGAGCAGAGATTGGAGTGGTGTGGCCATAAGCCGAAGAGCTCCAAGGATGGGCGGCACCACCAGGTGCTGGAGAGAGGGCTGGGACAGACTCCCTCATGGCCTCAGAAGGAACCAGCCCTGCCGACATCCTGATCTCATACTTCCACCCTCCAAGACTCTGAGAGAATACATTTCTGTTGTTTAAGCCAGGAAGTTTCTGACCATTTGTTACCGCATCCCTAGCAAACTAGTACAACGTAGATAAATTTAATTACCAAGACAAACATTTTCTCCCAGGAGTGGTGTCCTTGAGGAATCTCTGCAGAGCCCCCAGGATTTTGTCAGCATAGTAAAAAGCAAAACAAAATAAAAGATAATAACAGACAAACAAATGAAACACCAAAAATAGCTGAGATCTTTCCATGAAACAAATGGTAAAATTGGCAAATCTTCTATTTCCAATACAAGGAATGCAAGAATTGCTGTTCGGCCTATACACATCCTATCCAAGGGGTGCAGAAGCGTCGTTAGAGGGCCCTGAGCATGGATAATGAAGTGCTGGTGTCAAGCCCCTCAAAAAAAAAACAATAATGCAGGGCATAGCCAGTCTGAAATGCACACTGACTTCAGGGTAAGTGAGCCTGCAGGCCAGGGCCTCAGGGGACCCAGTGTCTGCAAGGCCACAGCTCGGAAGCACGAGGTCAGGGGAGGGGATCCTCTCCTAGGAGCCCTGGCAGAACTGGGAAAGCCAGTTGAGAGCTCATCACACATCCAGGGAGCTCGGCAGCCCCTGGACACAGGACACAGCAGGACCCTGATTCAGTCTCCAGTTGCCTCTCTGGCCCATCCCACTGTGGTCCTCCTCCGCCCCCCAGCATCCATCCTCATAGCCCCTCTCCAGGGCCATACACCCTATAGATGCTCCTTTTTCTGACACTGGGGGCTCTGTCCCTTCCTCTGGAAACCTGCATCCCCAGAACGCCGCAAGGTCCCAACTCAAATGTCACAGCAAGAGCTGAATGCCAGGCCCTTGCCTGGTTACTCTCCAACACAGCTCTGTTTCATAGAATTTATGGGAAGCTGAATTCACCCAGGGGTTCCTCTGCATGCGCTGGTCTGACTGGCAGGTCAGTATGTGAGAGCCATCCATCTTGCTCACCTCTATCCCCAGCTCCTGACTTATACTTAGCACTGAATGAATCTCAGCAACCAACAGCACCAGAACTGATGACTATGGTGGGGAACATGAGAAGGCCCCGTATTTTCCATAGCATCTGCCCTTCTCAAGTTTGAACCCCTCGGTCACCATGTCATTTTTAGGACATCCACACTGGATAGGTTGGGCAGTGCCACTTTGCATCTCTTAGCCAAGCCAATTCTTGCTCACTTAGCACCTGGGCTCCAGCAAGCCTCTTCCCAGTCCCTCATGTCCGGCTGAATATGTCTCCCCTGCACTCACAGCAGGAAGCCCACTCCAGAGAGGAAGAGGAAGAACCCTGAGCTGGGCAGGTCTGGTTTCCCAAACAGGCCAAGCAGAGAGTCAGGCATGGCGATAGTCAAGTGGCGCAGAAAGGTCATGAATTCACTTCTGTACGACCCCTCTTAAGGGATAAGTAGTGGGGAAAAGGGAGCCCTTCCACAGTGAAGTTCTGCTCTAGAAGAACTGGAGCTGGGTTGCAGCATCTACTCTCTCCATCCCTTGACCTCCCCTTGGAGAAGGAAGGGAAATCAAGACACTCCTTCTTCCAGGTGGAGCAGCCCCATGCTGTATGACATATGCCCCTCCACACAGCTATCCTTGGTGCTCTAGGCTGTGCCAACCACAGGTCCCGGCTCAGGCTCCTTGGAGGAGAGGCAGCTCAGGATGTGGTGCAGAGAGCACTTGCTCCAGTAGGGATGGGTAATGGACATTCTTTTTCTTTTTCAGAGAAGGGAACATCCTCCTCCCTCTTCCCCACACCCTCCCATCCCCATTTCGTGGGCCTCAAAGATCTGATGAAGGCACTACCTGTGGCAGCATGCATTCCCGCATACCTTCAAAAGGCAGCATCACAAACCATGATGTTTGCACTGTTGTTTAAATCATTTCTTTGACTTTTTCAACAACGCAGGAAGGCAGAGATGACAGAAAGGCCTGACTTTCTCCTGTCAAGCTGGGCATCCTTGGGCAGTTGTAAGAATTAAGATGGTTGGTTGTTGGGCTCCATCTATCTGCTAGAAACTATTTCAGGCATTATCTATGGTGATCCAACCTTAAAAATAATTCTGGGAGGTAGAGGCCACAGTGTTGGCCTGTGTCTGATAATTTTTGCATGTTAATTGGAGAACCAATCCCTTAAACAGTCCTTAGACTTTAACGGATGCATGGCTCATATGCTATCCCCTGAAGTGCAGGTTCTGAGGCAGTGGCCTGGGGTGGGGCTTGGGACTCTGCATTTCTTACCAACTCCTGGGTGGGGCCAATGCTCTTAGTCCATGGACCACACTGTTAGTGGCAAGGTCCTATGACAACCTGAAGACCTTGCCCCTGTCCTAGCAGGTAAGTGACCATGAGTGCAACCCTGAGAAGGAAAGGAGACAAATGCAAAAAGAAAACATGAAGATGTCCATGCTCAACTGAGATTATGAAGAGTGCCTCCCCACAATCCAAAAAAAGGCAGAACAATTATACATCAGGAAGGAAAAAAAAAGACAAAATAATGCCTTCCTGTGCAAGTGAAGGTCATATTATTAAGTTTGTGGACAGAAAACAGTGATCAAGTTCACCTGGGATTATAAAATCTAGGTGGTAAAGGACCTCTTAGAGAGGTGTAGGTGGAGCCAAGGGGCTCAGAGATGAGCACTATGGGGCAATGGAGCTTTATCAGGCCTCCCAGGCCTAAATAGGTCAGCAGCGGAAGCAGTGTGCCTGTAGCCAGCATGGGCCAGAACTGTGGAGTTGACTCTATCCCAGCAGGGTTGTGGTCAAGAGGAACAGAGATGCCGCAGAACCACGCATGGGGCAAGGGAGAAATGGGAAGAAAAGACCTCTCTCTCTCTTTCTGCCCTCTGATATCTTGCTGATGCTTCCCACTGGTCAGACTCATCCAGGGTCCAGAGGCAAGGGAACTGGATGGTGCATCCATCAGGTCTACCAATGAGGCAAAGATCAGGGCACAGACGGGCAAAGGGAGATTAGGTGGGGTGTATTAGTCCATTCTCAGATTGCTGGAAAGAACAACCTGAGAATGGGTAATTTATAAATAAAAGAGGTATAATTGACTCACAATTCCACAGACTATATGGGAAGGATGGCTGAGGAGGGCTCAGGAAACTTACAATCATGGCAGAAGGTGAAGGGAAAGCAGACATGTCTTACATGGCTGGAGAAGGAGGAAAAGAGTGAAGAGGGAGTTGCTACATACTTTTAAACAACCAGATCTGGTGAGAACTCAGTAACACAAAAATAGCATGGGGGAAATCTGCCCCCATGATCCAAGTGCCTCCCACCAGGCCCTACCTCCAACACTGGGGATTACAATTCAACAAGAGATTTGGGCAGGGACACAAATCCAGACCATATCATGGGGCAAGCTGTGAATGGCCATCGCCAAGGTGATGGGCTTTGTATGAAAATGAATGAGTGCAGAGTATGTTTGGCTCTTGTTAAAGATCCTAAGCCCCTCACCTTAACCACGGCTTATATCTTACATCATTTTTTCCTTTAATTTTTTTTTATGAATTTTACTTTTGGTGTCAAGCCTGAAAATTATACTTCACAAGGCTTAGATCCCAAATGTTTTCTATTGTGCTTTTTTTGGTAAAAGTTTTATATTTTACATTTAAGTCTGTGATCCATTTTGAGCTAATTTTTGCAGACAGTATGAGACTCAGATTTATAATTTTGCCTGTGGATGTTCAAATGCTCCAGCACCATTTGTTGAAAATGCTGTGCTTCCTCTACTAAATTGCTTGTGCACCTATATTAAAGTTGAGCATATTTCTGTGGGTCTTTTTCTGGATTTAGTATTCTTAGTATTCCACTGATCTGTATGTCTACACTTCCTCCAACGTGACACAGTCTTGATTACTACAGCCATACAAGTGTTGAAATAGAATCGACTGATCCCTTCCACTCTAATTATTTTAAAATTTGTTTTAGTGATTCTGTTACCACTGACTTTCCATATCAGTGTTTAAATACTCGTGTCTACACCCACAAAATATATTTTTTTACAATTTGTGTAGGAATTTCATTCAAAATGTATATCAATTTGGGGAAAATTGACATCTTTTCTATATAGAGTCTCCCACTTCATGAACATAATCTCTATTTATTTAGATTTTTTATTTCTTTCACCAACATTTTATACTTTTCAGCATACAAGTCCTGACATATGTTTTTAGATTCACCCCTATGTATTTATTTTTCTTTAATGATTGTGAGTGGATTGCATTTATTTATGTGTCCACTTTTTCATTGCTAATGTATAGAAATTTAATTGATGTTTCTGTTTATCTTGTATGCTGTAAACTTTCTGGATTCACTCATTAGCTCCAAAAATTTTTTTAGACTCCTTGGAATTTTCTATACAGACAATTTTATCTATAAGTAGGTACAGTTTTATTTCTTCCTCTCTGATCTGCATGACTTCTGTTTCTTTTTTTATTTTTTTTGTCTTGCTGTACTTCCTACAGCTTGCAATGCTAAGATGAATAATAGTGTCAAGAGCAGACATTCGTGCCTTAAGTATGACATTAGATGTAGATTTTTGTAGATATTCTTTATCAAGTTAAGGAAGTTCCATCCTCTTCGTAGTTTTCTAAGAGTTTTTATTATGAAAGGGTGTTGGGTTTTGTCAAATATTTTATTTGCTTCAATTGATGTGGTATGTAATTTTTCTTAACCTGTTAAACGGTAGATTATATTGATTTTCAAATATTGAATTACTCTTGCATCTCTGGAATACATTTTACTTGGTCATGGCATATAATCTTTTTATATACTACTGAATGATATTTGCCAACATTTTATTAAAAATATTTGCATCAGCCAGACACAGTGGTGCATGCCTGTAATACCAGCACTTTGGGAGGCTGAGCCAGCAGGATCTTTTGAGTCCAGGAGGTCCAGACCAGGCTGGGAAACCTGGAGAAACCCATCTCTACAAAAAGTACAAAAATTAATAAAGCATGGTGGCATGTGCTTTTAGTCTCAGCTACTTGGGGGTCTGAGGTCAAAGGATGGTGTGAACCCAGGAGGCAGAAGTTGCAGTGAGCTAAGATTGCGCCACTGCACTCCAGCGTGAGCAACAGACTGAGACCCTTTATCAAAAAAAAAAAAAAAAAGGAACATTTGCATCTATCATCATGAAGGATATTCAGTCTATAGTTTCCATTTCTTTAAATGTTAGAAGTCTTCAGGGAAACAACCTGGGCCTCGAGATTTATTTTTCAGGTATTTTAACATTATGAATCCAATATTGTTAATAGTTATTGAGCTATTCAGATTATTTCCTATTCAGTCTGCTTTTTAAGGAATTAATTGATTCATTAAAGTTATATTTAAGAGTGTAGAATTGTACACAGTATTTTCTTAATATCATTTTGATGCTTGTAGGGTTTGTAGTGGTATTCCATTTCATTATTCACATTGGTAACTGTGTTTTTATTTTTTCCTTTGCTTTTCTTGCTAGGGGTTTGTCAATTTAATCTTTTCAAGGAAACTGCTCTTTATTAATTTTCTGTATTACTTTTCTAATTTTAATTTTATTGATTTCTATTCTTATCTTTATTATTTACTCTCTTCTGCTTGCTTTGGGCTTATTTTGCTCATCTTTTTCTAGTTACTGTACATATGAATTAAATTCATTGATTCAAGAACTTCTTTCTGTTTGTGTTTTTATTGAGACAGAATCTTGCTCTGTTACCCAGGCTGGAGTGCAGTGGCATGATATTGGCTCAATGCAACCTCCACTTCCTGGGCTCAAGCAATCCTCCTATCTCAGCCTCCCAAGTAGCTGGAACCACAGGCACATGCCACCACACCCAGCTAATTTTTTGTGGAGATGGGTTTCTCCATGTTGCCCAGGCTGGTCTTGAACTCCTGAGCTCATGATCCCCCCACCTTGGCCTCCCAAAATGCTGGGATTACAGACATGAGCCACCATGCCCAGCCTTCATGATTTCTATTGTAAGCATTTAGTACTATAAATTTCCCTCTCAGAAAATTTAGGTATGTTTTATACTCTGTGTAATTGTTCTACCAAATTGTTCAGAGAGAAGTATTGTAGTCTCCAGTTGTAATTGTATATTTGTCTATTTCTTCTTTCAGTTCTATTAGATATTGTTTCACATGTTTTGCAGTCTTTTTGTTTCATACACTTTTGGCATTGTCTTTTTGGTGGATTGACCCTTTTATCATTCACTAATGTGCCTCTCTGATAATTCTCTTTGCTCTGAATTCTACATATTTTTACAAACTAAAACTTTCAACCTACATGTATCATTATATTTGAAATTAGATCCTTGTAGATAGCATATAATTGCACCATAATTTTTTATATACTTGTCACTTCTGTATCTTAATTAGCATATTTAGTCTATTTACATTTGATGTAACTATAGATAAATCTTTTATTCTCTGTCCTTTTTGACATTTTCCTGGTTTTCTTTCTGTCTTTAGTTTTGTAACATGTCATTCTGATTTATTTAAATTGTTTTAAATTGTATTTATTTGTATAAATTTTTACTGGTAGCTTTAATTTGTAATCTATATCGACTTGAGATTTTACTCTTTGAGTGAAGTATAGAAAACTTACCTCTTTATACATCTCTATTTCTCCACTATTTATAATTGTCTTAAGTAGTTTCTCTATATACATTGAAAATCATATCAGCCATGCAAGAATTTTTGCTTCAACCACCAAACCTAGTATAAAAAACTTAAGAGAAACAATATGTATTGTGTTTACCCATACACTTACTCTTTTCATTGTTCTTTCCTTCTTTCTGATGTTTCAAAGTTTTGTCTTTCATCATCTTTTTGTTTACAGAACATCCCTTAGCTCTTCCTTTACAAGGCCTGTTAGCGACAAATATTTATAGCTTTCCTTCTTCTAACATCTTGATTTCCCCTTTATCCTTGAAGGATACTTGCTGGACATAGGATTTAGTACATTTTTTTCTTTTTGTTTCTTTACTTTTAATACTTGAAAAATGTGCTGCTTTCTTCAGGCCTCCATGGTTTCTGATGAGAAATTCTTTATCACTTAAATATTTTCTTACTACAAATAAGGTGTCCTTTCTCTCACTCTTTTCAATAAATTTTATTCGTTTTTAGTTATCAGAAGTTTGACTATAATGTGTCTTGATGTAGATTTTTTTGAGTTTTTCCTGTTAAGAGATTTACTTTGCTTCTTTAATCTGCATGTTTATATATTTCGCAAAATTGATAAGTTTTTAGCCATTATTTCTTTGAGCACTTTTAATCCAATTTTCCCTTTCTTCTCTTTCCAGGACTTCAATGACAGGATATTTAGATATTTTGCTAGAATACTATAGAACCCTGAGTATCTGTCCATTTTTTTAGACTATTTTTTCTCTCTTGCTCAGAGTTGCTAATTTCTATGGCTCTATCTTCCGGATCATTGATTCCCTTTTCTGTTGTCCTTTCCATTCTGTTGATAAGTCCAGACGATGAGTTTGCTTTTTTATTTCATTTTACAGTGTTTTTCATTTCTAAAATCCAAACTGGTTCTTTTTCATAATTTCTATTTCTTTGCTGAGTTTTCTATTTTGTTTCAAGAATATAGTAATTATTCCTTGAAGTCTCTTCATGATGGCTGCTTTAAAATCTGTGTATCAGATATTTGCAGCATTTGTCATCTTGTGTCAGTGTCTTTTTAAATTCAAATTGGGATTTCCTTTGTTCTTATATGCATATTTTAAAAATGACAGCCTGGACATTGTATGTATTATTTTGTGATGATCTGGAACTTACTTAAATTTTCTGTTTTAATTGGCTTACTTAGACATTGCTGCAGCAGGGAAAAATAGTAGCATGGACTCATTAATGTCAGGGTAAGGTAGAAGTTCTGGCTCCCATCTAGTCTCTGCTGAGAGCACCCTGGTTGGGAGGAGCAGGGTGCCTTTGTACTGCTCCATACCTGATCTCCACTGATAGAAGTGGTGGGAAAGGACTCATTGCTTCTCAGCGGGGAAGAGTCCTGGCTCTCTACTCAGCCTTCTCTGACACCACAGGGGAGGCTCGAAGCACCTCTCTACCGCTGGGTAAAGGTGATGTTTCAGCTTCTCACTAGGCTTTTGCTGAAGAGCATGTAGCCACAATACTCTCAGTTGTGTTTGACTGGAGTAGAAAAGTTATTGACTAAAATATTTCTGTCTTATTAGGCTGCTGCTTTCTGGCCCTTTGACTACAGAGCCAGCTTTTGAGAAGCTTTTTTGATTGTGACTGTTGGTGTTTCTGGGTTACCAGCTTCTTCAGCTACAAGTCTGGGATATGTGTGGCTAAAAGAAAACCCAGAAAACCAGCCACTGTGTAATTCCTTGTATCTTGAGTTTCCTAGACAGTCTTCTTCTTTCCGTCTTTCAGAATATATATCTCAGTGCTTTCAGTTGCACTTAGCAGGAAGAATAGGGAAAAGTATGTCTACTTCATCTTCCTAGAGGTGGAAGTACTTCTGACTTGTTTTCTCACTTAGTTCCTTGCAGCTCTGAGCTTTACTGTCTCTTTGTCCTGCTACTGTACTTGACTATATTCTGGTTAGCTTGACAGTCACATTGGGTCAGTCTTAGGGTCTCAGCTTGAGGATGAGGCTATGTGATTAAACCTTCATCAAATTTTCTCTAGTTTTGGCTACAAGAAATGTCACATGCATGCACACACAAACACACACACACACACCCACACACACAGAGAGAGAGAGAGAGAGAGCCCTTCATTGTGTAGAGGAATGAATAGCTTTATGTAGGCTTACATTGCTCCTCCCTGCCTTTTCCATTCCTTCCTGCTAAGCTGACTAAAGCCATCCACCTGCAAGGAAAGAAATCTTGTTCTGACCTCCTACGAGTAAGTGTATTGTTCTTCAACCCAGGGTGCAGACCCTACAGAAAGTTTTTCCCAAATACCTACACCTCCACTCTACATCAAACTCACACATCATATTATCACTGTTTTCTTGTCTTTCTCTTGCACTGGAATGACAGCCACCTATTTAAAGGGTCTATATTTTGGAGTATTCATGACTTCAGGCATAATTCTGAGCCTCTAAACAGTGCTGAAAAACTTTGAAACTAAATCAGACACAAAGCAAGTTAGATACGGAATCAGTTTGAGGCATAGCCCTCTAATTGAGCTGGGATGAAGGCTGGTTATCTGTTGGCTGTCAGGCTTTGATCACATCCTAACGTTGAGGCTGTGTTGAATGACTGGAGGGTTTCTTCAGTTTGTGCCTGGCATGCTGATTTCTGTTGGAATTGTAGCTTTCCTTCAAAATCTTAGACTTGCTGGCTGGGGCCCTCAGGCTCTGTTGAGCCAGCTTATTTCTGCACCCACCATGAAGGTCTGGAGCAGAAATGGTTATTGTGTTGTAATGGCAGGGCACCAGCTGAGATGGACAGATGAGAAAGGGTGCCATCATCAATGAGTAGCATCAGCTGTGGGTGGGAGAGGAACAGAGGAAACAAGTTTGGGTTTGCCAAGGGGGTCTGGATTATATTTCCTGCTCCATGCCCTGGATGGGTTCTTGTGATGACCCAAAGAGATCAGGTGAACCACTGCTCCCCTAACCTGCCTCTGGAAACTTCAATTTCCTGAATACTGCAATTAATCTGACCCTCCCTAACCAAACCATCAGCTTTGGTCATATCTGAGGTCCCTTAGACTAGATGAGTGTTAGCCACCTGTAAATAGCTTCCCATGCCGTCGGGAAACTAGAAAAGACTACACAAATGTATTAGTCCATTTTCACACTGCTGATAAAGACATACCCAAGACTGAGTAATTTATAAAGAAAAAGAGGTTTAATCAACTCACAGTTCCACATGTTTGGGGTTGGGGGGCCTCATAATCATGACAGAAGGTGAAAGGCATGTGTTACATGGCAGCAGGCAGGAGACGATGAGAGCCAAGTGAAAGGGAAAACCCCTTATAAAACCATCAGATATCATGAGACTTTTTCACTACCATGAGAACAGTATGGGGGAATCCACCCCCATAATTCAGTTATCTCCCACCAGGTCCCTCCCACAACATGTGGAAATTATGGGAGCTACAATTCAAGATGAGATTTAGGTGGGGTCACACCCAGACCATATTATTCTGCCCCTGGCCCCTCCAAAATCTCATGTCCTCACATTTCAAAGCCAATCACACCTTCCCAACAGTCCCCCAACATCTTAACTCATTTCAGCATTAACTCAAAAGTTCATAGTACAATACAAAGTCTCATCTGAGACAAGGCAAGTCCCTTCTGTCTATAAGCCTGTAAAATCAAAAGCAAGTTAATTACTTTCTAGATACAATGGGATACAATGGTCTAGCTACAATGGCATTGGATAAATACACCCATTCCAAATGGGATAAATTAGCCAAAATAAAGGTGCTAAAGGCCCCATGCAAGTCTGAAATCCAGCAGGGCAATTAAATCTTAAAGCTCCGAAACAATCTCATTTGACTCCATGTCTCACATCCAGGTCACACTGATGCAAGAGGTGAGTTCCCATGGTCTTTGGCAGCTCCACCCTTGTGGATTTGCAGTGTACAGCCTCCCTCCTGGCTGCTTTCATGGGCTGGCACTGAGTGTCTGCAGCTTTTCCAGGTACATGGTGCAAGCTGTTGGTGGATCTACCATTCTGGTTCCTGGAGGACAGCGGTTCTCTTCTTATAGCTCCACTAGGCAGTGCCTGTGGGGACTCTGTGTGGGGGCTTCAACCCCACATTTCCCTTCTGCACTGCCCTAGCAGAGGTTCTCCATGAGGGCCCTGCCCCTGCAGCAAACTTCTACCTGGACATCCAGGCATTTCCATACATCAACTGAAATCTAGGCAAAGGTTCCCAGACATCAGTTCTTGACTTCTTTGCACCTACAGGCTCAACACCAAGTGGAAGCTGCCAAGGCTTGGGGCTTGGACTCTTTGAAGCCATGGTCTGAGTTGTACCGTGGCCATGGCTAGAGTGGTTGGTATGGAGGGCACCAAGTTCCTTGGCTGCACACAGCAGAAGGGCCCTGGACTGACCCACAGAACCAGTTTTTCCTCCTAGACCTCTGGGCCTGTGATGGGAGGGGCTGCTTCAAAGTTCTCTGATATGCCCTGTAGACATTTTCACCTTTGTCTTAGTGATTACCATTTGGCTCTTCATTACTTATGCAAATTTCTGCAGCCAGCTTGAATTTCTCCTTGGAAAATAGGTTTTTCTTTTCTATTGCATTGTCAGGCTGCAAATTTTATGAACCTTTATGCTCTGTTTCCCTTTTAAAACTGAATGCTTTCACCAGCACCTAAGTCATCTTTGAATGCTTTGTTGCTTAAAAATTTCTTCTGCCAGATACCCTAAGCCATCTCCCTCAAGTTCAAAGTTCCAGAACTGTCTAGGGCAGGGGCAAAATGCCACCAATCTCTTTGCTACAACATAGCAAAGGTCACCTTTACTCTAGTTCCCAACAATTTCCTCATCTCCATCTGAGACCACCTCAGCCTGGATTTCATGGTCCATATCATTATCAACATTTTGGTCAAAGCCATTCAACAAGTCTCTAGGGAGTTCCAAACTTTCCCACATTTTCCTGTCTTCTTCTGAGCAATCCAAGCTGTTCCAACCTCTGCCTGTTACCCAGTTCCAAAGTCACTTCCACATTTTTGGGTATCTTTACAGCAGCACCCCACTCTACTGGTACCAATTTAATGTATTAGTCCATTTTCACGCTGCTGATAAAGACAAACCTGAGACTGGGTAATTCATAAGGAATTTAAAGAGGTTTAATGTACTCACAGTTTTATGTGGCTGGGGAGGCCTCATGATCATCGCAGAAGGTGAAAGGTACATCTTACATGGCAGCAGGCAAGGGAGAATGAGAGGCAAGCAAAAAGGGAAACTCCTTGTATAACCATTAGATCTCATGAGAGTTATTCACTACCACGAGAGCAGTATGGGGGAACCACCCCCATGGTTCAGTTATCTCCCACAAGATCCTTCCCACAACACGTGAGAATTATGGGAACTATAATTCAAGATGATATTTGGGTGGGGACATAGCCAAACCATATCAACAAATAAGAGATGATTCTGGAAGTTAAGGACTGGAGTCCAGAATGGTTTGCCAGCACCACCTTAGACAACACAGCGTACCTGCAAGCCTTGGGTTTCTCATCTCCCAAATGAGGATGCTAAAAAGTAAGCCAAAAAAAAATCCCTACCTTCAAAGATTCTGGGAGTCTCACATGAAATGACAAATATGAAAATGCTTTTGCAATTCAAAAATGTTATACAAACATTGCCACTTTTTTCAATATCCTGAACATCCTGAATTGTTAAATAGATCCTTCTAGACACCAACTCTTAGGAATTCTATTTGAATCAGGACAGCCTTGCATGGGCCACCAGACTGCTTGTAAATGCAGAAGATATAATTGAAACTTCATAAAGACAACAGGAAATTTATTTGAAAGTGTTGAATTCACATTGCAGAATGATTTATGCACAGTTACGATTTATGCAGTTAGCTTCTCATGGCTGTATTTTTCCAAAGCTCTGATTAAAACACGATGCAATTCTGAGGTTAACCCCAATCCCTCCTCACTGTGGGTGGGTGAAATCCTTAGCTAAGTTCAATAGTAGAGACAAAACACTTTTCTTTTAAGATTTGGTTATGCTCTGTCTATATTTTTTTCTAAGTATTGCATCTGTTTTACCAGAAATTAGTACTTCCTTTTACAATGACTTTTGTGTGAATTACAGTGAATTCTTGAATTCAGTCTACAATTGCTCAATGTTCGGACATCACTGTTTTCACTGAAAATACTTCTCTAGCTCTAGCTATCACTGTTCCTAAGTTGTTATTGCACAGAGTTAAATAACACTGAGGAAGACATCTTCTTCTTATATGTGCACCCTGCAAATATCCCACAGACAGTGCTGAAGGTATTCCAAAAATTGGTTTCTTCATCAGAACAAATGCGGCAGCAGGAGAAGATGCATAGATAGCCTGGTTTTTACCAGAGCAGAATAATCCCCTAATTCAATGCCATCTGAAAGCAATATTTCTGTTTATTAATAGACATATAATTTATGCTTTCTGTTTTTTATTAAATATTTTTTCCTGGCTCAATAAAACTACTTTTTAAAAATAAATAATCAGAGAACAGAGAATTATTGAAAATTGAAAATATGATGGCTAAATAAAAAACTGAGCAGAATAATGAAACATACCAGAAGATAGAAGGAAAAGAAAGAGAGGAAGGAAGGAAGGAAGAAAATCAGAAAGGAGATAACACATCCAATCAACTGAAGGGGGGAAATAAAGAGAGAATATGATAAGTAAAATTTCCTTCGAGAGAAAGTGAGGTTGAAAATATTTTCTTTTATTTTTAATTAATTAATTATTTCTGTATCAAATAGTACAATTATTTGTATTTTCATGGTACTTTAATGATTTTTTTGAGACAAAGAAGGTTTTGGTAAACTTTTAAATATGTGTCATCATTCAAATTCAATGAAATAGAGGCCCAGGTTTCCAAACCAGTTAAAAATTTGAGCAAAAATATAAAATATGAATTTGGGAAAAAAATCCCCCTAAGAATAAAGATAGGGCTAGCTAAACACAGCATGTTGCCCTGTGGAAGTCTCTTTCACTGTTAGATGCTGTTGGGTAAATGCACCTGACAGCAATAACTTAAGCATACCCTTAGAATGACCCTGTGTGGTAGACACACCTGAGTGTTGTTCCAAGCTCGGGAATCCAGGAGTGGCCAATCTGGTGATTCATTCCTTGTCTATGAGGAACCTCTGAGCCCCTGGCATGTCCTGTGGAACACGGGCTGTATAGAAGATTGAGGATCTGAGTTTTGGTTGGGGGGGGGGGGTCAGTAAATGAAGGTTGTCAGGTGGAGGTCATTACAGGGAGGGTGTTAAGTGAAAATACTCCATAAACTGCATGCTGTTTTCAAGTGGTTGTGGTTGTCCTGCCCAGCCCACCACCACTGTGCTGTGCGTTTACGTTGTCCAGCCTGCTGTCACTGGATTGCTTCTGTCCATAAGGCGGTTCTCCTGCCCAGCCTGCCGCCACTGGACTCTCCCCCCTGTATGAAAGCCCCTAATAAAACCCCGTGTCTCATTTGCTGATTCTGAGTCTTTTCTTTGGCCTCTTGAACCTGGCGCCTTCCCTGCTGAGGTTGATAAGGGTTTGGCACAGCAATGCTCCAGGGACTGATTCATGAGGAAGGAAAGTGAGCTGTACCAGAGAGAACAAAATCCCAGGTGACCCCTCTCTGCCGTCTAGCGTCAAAGATTCCAGGTGATGTTTCCTGGTCCCACCTGCCTGTCTCACTTGCTCTACTCAAGCCTCATTTTCCACATATGCAAAATGGGAACAATAGTTTTGACCTGATTCTCTCAGGTGTGGGCATGATTCATGCAGAAAGTTGATTCATTTGCTGCGTGTTACAAACCGAGTAGGGATTTTCCAGCAAGGAAACAGTGACAGGGCATTTCTTCTTATGAGAACCAGGTATGTGAAGGCAGAGCTATATACCAGTGTTTCACAGATGATCCTACTTTAGCTTTTCAGCAACCTCGTAGCAGAGGTAGAATGTAGCATATCAGTAATGAACAGGCACTCCAGAGGTAGACTTGCCTGGATTGGACACATGGAGAATGGTGATGCCTACCCCAGGCTGAACTGAAAATCTGTTCTTAGAGATGGGGGATAGGCACCTAAGAAAGAAAGTGAGCAGACACTGAGGGAACTAGACCTTTACCCAGGCTCAAAGGAAAAAGAAACATTATTTCAGAAGAGACAAGCATTGTTGGCCAGGAAGAAACAAAATGAAACACTCCAGGCCACTCCACATATTCCTTAAGTGAAACCTGCTTGTCTGCTCACTCCATAAATTATTGGGCTGTCTGCTGTGAGCCCTGGCGTTTACATGTTCATGTATTACATGAACATACTTACCAACCTAACCCGTGGAAATATTACCAGCGGTGATGCAAATGGACCATCTGCCCTCACCAGACACATGAGAAAACCAACCACAAGAAAGGGGGCTGGGGGAACTCCTGGGACACTGAACTCAGAAAAAAACTAATATACTTTGGGGAGCAGGAGAAAACGCATTAAGCAGATTTAAGAAGATGTTGCAAGTATGAAACAAGAATGGCAGCTTTGAATGGCAGAACAAAGAGAAAAAAAGGTCTTAGACATTGTAAGAAATACAGTAAAAAAACAAGTGTGCATGCTCGATAGTCAGATGTTTACTTTGAACACTAAGTTGATTATTAACAAAACTCAGAACTCAAAGAAAAAGTTGGAAAACATGAGACAAAATAATAAAAAAGCATTGACCATATGTCTAAGAGTTAAACATACATCTAAAAGATCAGGTCAGGGATAATGAAGAAGAGGTAAAATATTGAAAAAAGTAAAAAACATATCTGGAAGCTAAAAAATAACATAAATGCTTTGAACAAGAGTCCTTTAATACTGTGTTGGGTGGTTGGATGAATTAGGAAAAGACCTTATTGGGCCCACCTAGAGCCAGTTGATGATTCCAAGTTAGCAAGAAGTTCTGAAAATCTTTCAGTATTAAAAGAATCATAATGAATACCAAGAAGTGGATGTTAGTGTAACATGAGAACTCCCTGAGAAAAATCCCATACAAATATCAGTGTGGCTTCACTTGTGGATTTTTGAGGGAGAATTGCCTGAAGAATTGAATTTTAGTGAGCATCTACATGATTCTCTTTCTGATCTCTTTCTGGAAATACTTACAATGTAGAAGCATAAGTTAGAAAATCAAAATGTTAAAGACAATAGAAAAAAGTTATATTGGCAGGGCACTGTGGCTCACGCCTGTAATCCCAGCACTTTGGGAGGCCGAGGCGGGCGGATCACGAGGTCGGGAGATTGGGACCATCCTGGCTAACATGGTGAAACCCCATCTCTACTAAATAATACAAAAAATTAGCCAGGCGTGGTGGCAGGCGCCTGTAGTCCCAGCTACTCGGGAGGCTGAGGCAGGAGAATGGCATGAACCCAGGAGGCAGAGTTTGCAGTGAGCTGAGAGTGCGCCACCACACTCCAGCCTGGGTGACAGAGCAAGACTCCATCTCAAGAAAAAAAAAAGTTATATTTGCATGAGTGAGCACACAGACAAACAATTGCTAATTTATTCATTTCCATTGAAACACTTTCTGAAGCTCTTAGGTACCCAAACAGATCGCCAGGACCTAAAGATGATGTAGAAATGGGGGAAATCCAATGCTTGCCCTTGCAAAAAAATCATTATTCAGTAAAAACAGGTTAAATACACAAATATCTATAATAATAAGCAGAATGAGTTGTCAGACAAGGGAAAAATGTATTTGTCAGTGTTCTTCAGAAAAAGAGAACCTGTAGGATATATGCGGAGATTTATTATGAGGAAGTGGCTCTTGAAACTACAGAGGCTGGGAAATTCCATGATCTGCACTCTGAGAGGTGTAGATCCCAGAAAGCTGGTGATGCAAATTAATCCAAGCCCAAAAGCCTGATTACCAGAGAAGCCAATGGTATAAATCCCAGTCTGAGGGCCAGGGAAGATGAGATGAGATGGGATGTTTCCGCTCATGCTGGCAGAAGAAAGAAGAGGCATATTCCTCTTTTCTTTGTCTTTTGTTCTACTCCAACCCTTCATGGATTGGGTAATGGCCAACCACATTGGGGTGAGCAATCTGTTTCGCTGAGTCCACAGATTCAAATTCTCATTCAACTCAGAAAAACCATAAAAAACACACACAGAAATAGCACTGTGCACCTCATGATCCAGTCAAGATGACATGTAGAATCAACCATCACAAGTTCAAACTTTGTCAACTTGGCACACAAATGCCTCACCTCAAATCATAATTAATCCTCAAATAAAAACAATAACAAGGTCACAATGCCACTGAACGTGATACACCTATCCTATGTACTACCAGTAATGCACTAACTCCTTCCCCAGAAGCAGAGGTAAAGCCCTGAGTGATGTTTATTCTTCTCCTTGGTATTCTATAACTTAAATTTTATAATGTAAATTAACAATATTTAAATACTACAATACGAAATAAATACATCTTATGTTACAAGGCAACAAGATAAGACAGAATAAAAGATACACATACATATGCATAAAAACATACTCAGAACAAAGTAAGGAGAAAGTGCTTGTGACAATTGCAGTCATGAGTCATTTTTCTGTAACTGGTCATGTGTTTGTAGCTGGTATTTATAACTACCTTCTTCCACTATCCATTCTGTATTCCCTTTGACTTTAGCAAGCACCTCAGCCAATTGTGGTTCTTTACCTGGTAGGATGACCCAAACCTTCATTCCTGAAGGGTCTGGGCCATTAGATGGCCTGAATATATTAGCTTTTTGTGGTTTTCCATTGACTTTAATCACAGGACATGGTAATATTAAGAGATGCTCTAAGTATTCCAGACATACTCTACCTCCACTAGGGAGTAGTAGTTCAGTGTCCCCTTGGTAATCTGGATCAGTCATGCCAGCCAACACAGTAAATTCTTGGCCTGTTGACTCAGAAGGGAGATCCCAAAGGTGGTGGATGGCACTCTTAACTTCCTGTTTAATGAAATCATGATTTTGTCTTCTGGTGGGAACATTTCTTTTTCCAGGATGAAGACTTCTAGGTCAGCAGAGCATAAAGTCATGGAAGCAGGAAGAAAACATTTTGCTAATGGGACACTAGGGGAAGTCATGAGTAGTGTCACTTCAATTTTGAACCTTGATTTCTGGACCTAAGAATTTTGGCTATCAGACAAACAGCACCAAATATTGGATGCTGATTCAGAACATAGTCTTCTGGAGAACACTGCCTCAACCCTCAAGGTATTATCACCTAGCTGGTCCTGTAACCAAGACTTCAAATGGCCATTCAACCATTCTATCAAGATGGCTACTTCAGGATAGTGGGGGATGTGGTAAGACTAGTGAGTTCCTGAACATGAGACCATTGCCACATTTCTTAAGCTATTAAGTGAGTTCCTTGATCAGAAGCAGTGCTGTATGGAAAAACATGATGGTGGAATAACATGAAGACAGGATTTTGCCCCAAAGTGCTAAAGCCCTAAAGACAGTTGAGGCATTCTGTGAGTCCACCAAAGGTAGTCTTGACAGAAACATTCAAGAAAAGCAAATCTATATCCGGAGTAAGTATATATTCCAGGAAGGACAAAACATTACCCCTTCCATCATGGAAGCTATCTAATATTATCAACCTGCCACCACCTAGCTGTCTCATGACCCCAGGAATGATGCTATGGGGCTGGGGGCTGAGAATCTGTTCTGGTCTCTGCTGCTGGCAGATTGGACACTCAGCAGTGGCCATAGCCACTTCAGCATCAATGAGTGGAGTCCCTGTTGCTGAGCCTATGCATAACCTTCATGCCTGCCACATGGCCAATATGTTCATGAGTCCATTGGTTAATAACAAGGTTGGCTTAGAAAAGAGGCTAACTGGTATCCAAAATATGTCATCCTATCCACTTTATTATTAAAATCCTCCTCTGCTAAGGTCACCATTTGATGAGCATTCTCATGAGACACAAATATCTTCCCACTTTTTCTCCATTCAGGGAAAAACTGTCCTCAAACTTCTCTGTGACATTTTCCAATCGTGCTCCTTCCAAGTCTCTGACCATTAGGCCAAAGCATTAGACATCAACTGGTATATAATTGTATGTCTAGCCACTTCTCCTTCCAAACAAAATGGACAATTAGATGGATGCCCAAAGTTCTGCCCACTGGGAAAATTTCCCTTCACCAATGTCCTTCAGGAATGTCCCAGAGGGTGGCTGCAGTGCTGCAGCTGCCCTGCATATCATGCAGAATCATCTCTAAACCAGGACTGAGTCTTGTCTTCCTCTGTCAACTGATTGTTGAGAACTCCCCAGGAGCCCACAGGTGTAGCTGAGAGACAGAAGGTAATGAAGCAAGAATGGAGACCATGAAAATTTGAACCACTTCTTCATGTAACTTATTTGTGCTTTCAGGGCCTGCTCATATACCCCAAGTATATGCCACCTTCATTTGATGATGGAGTGTTGCTGCATGCAGCCAACTTGATGGCTTCATGGGTCAGCTAATAGTCAGTTCATGATGGGCAGCTCAAGTTGCTTGGTAAATTTGTGGCTTACAATTAAACTGTCAGTTGCAGAAAAAAAAGCTATTTCTCAAAAGGAGAGCAGTTTTCTGCAGATGACGATAGGATCTTGCCCCAAAGTCCTAAAGGCCTGTGCTCTAATTCATCTATTGGAGCCTAGCAAAAGCTCCAAACAGCATCGCCACCCACTATTGACACTTCAAGAACCACTGGATCTGCTGAACCATATGGCCCAAGAGGCAGAGAAGCTTGCACAGCAGCCTGGACCTCTTGAAGAGCCCTTATTCTGGGCTCAAATCAAAACCAGCAGCTTTTCAGGTCATTCAGTAAATGGGCCAGTGAAATACACCAAAATGATAAATATATTACCTCCTAAATCCAGAGAAGCCCACTAGGCACTGTGCCACCTTCTTAGTTGGAGGAAAGGCAAGATGCAACAATTTATCCTTCACTTCAGAAGAGATATCTTGATATCCCCACACCACTGGGCCCTTAAATATTTAATTGAGTTAGAAGGCCCCTGAATTTTTGTTGGGTTTATTTCCCACCTTCTGACACACAAATATCTTATCAAGAGGTCTAGAGCAGCTTCTACTTTTTGCTCACCAGATCCAATGAGTGTCATCAATGCAATGGACCAGCATGATATCTTGTAGACAGGAAAGGCAATCAAGATCCCTGAAAACTAAATTATGGCATAGAGCTAGAGTGTTAATATGAGGCTGAAGTAGGACTGTTAAGGTGTATAGCTGGCCTTACCAGTTGAAAACAAAGCTGCTTCTGATCAGCCTCTGGACAAGTATAAAGAAAAAAAGAATTTGTCAGATTAATAGCTGGGTACCATGTATCAAGAGATTTGTTAATTTGCTCAAGCAATGAAGCCACATCTAGTCCAGCAGCTGCAATTAGAGGTACCACTTGATTAATCTTACAATGGTCCACTGTCATTCTTTAAGATCCATCTGTCTTTTGCACAGGCCAAATAGAGACAAATGAGGATGTGGTGAGAATTGCCACCCCTGAATCTTTCATGTTTTTTCATGGTGGCAATAATCTTTCCAGTCCCTCCAAGAATGTAGTATTGCTTTTGATTTACTATTTTTTTAGGTTGATGTGATTCTAGCAGCTTCCACTTGGCCTTTCCCACCATAATAGCCCTCACTCCAGAAGTCGAGGAACCAGTGTAGGGTTTCTGCCAGCTTCTGAATACATCTATTTCTATTTTGCATCTGGAACAGGGGAAATAACCACAAAATGGGTTCAGAGACCCTGGAACTACTGTGAGATGGACCTGAACTAAAACTCCATTGATCTCCTGACCTTCATAAGCCCCTACTGTAACTGGAGGGCCACAGTGATACTTTGGGTCTCCTGGAATCAATGTCAGTTTAGAGCCAGTGCCCACTTGTTTCAAAAAGGTCTAATTATTTCCTTTTCCTTAATGCACAGTCACCCTGATGAAAGGCCATAGGTTTCTTTGTGGAAAGCTAGGAGAAATGTCAACAGTATACATTTTCAACAGTGCGCTGGGGTCTTTCCTCAAGGTGATCACCTCCCCTTCATCCAAGGGGTTCTGGGTTTGTAAACTGACTTAAGTCTGATAATTGACTGAGGGACCATGACTCTGTTTAATTAAAGTTAGACTTTTGTTCACTTGATCTAGAACTTTTTACTTTATACAGCTGAAGCAAGAATTTAGTAGGGTTTCCAGCTATTTCTCTTCTAGGCACTCCATGATTAACTAGCCAACACCACAGGTCCACATGAGTCAGACTGTTCTGATTGCTGCTTTGACTCTCTGTTGATTACAGTAACTATGCCCACATTTTCTTCAGTACTTCACCTCTTGGCCCCTGCTCCCCAGGTTCCAATTATTCTCACTGCATTTAAGTTTTCAAGTTGTATGGCTATGGCTTCCACTGTAAGTTCTGGCCTACAGAGAAGAACAACTACAAAGCTCTTTAGGGTGCTAGGACTCCCCTTATGAACTTATTTCTCACAGTCACGGTGAAAGATGTGTCTTCTGGACTCTCCCAGAGCTTATGAGTAGGTCTTAAATGACAAATCCACTTTAGCATTCCAGTCTCCCTAAGCCTTTCAATCCCTTCCTCTATGTTAAACCAAGGGGTGTCTGCAATTTCCAATTCACTTACTGCAGGCCATCTTTTGATCCATGTTTCAGCCAACCAACCAAACAAACTATTTGAGCCCTTTCTAACTCCCCAAGTTGTCATATTAAGTGCAGACTCACTGCTTAGTGAGCTCATATCAATAAATTCAGCATAACCCAACTTTATGTTCCTTCCATTGTTATCCCATATATCTATTCCCAGACATGTTTCCAGAATTTCCACTTGAAACCATAAGAAAACCTGAGTAGTTCTTTTAGAGTGTAACACACCTCCTTCTGGGCCACACTTTGTACCTTACCTGCAGGAGTCTACTTGTATGCCTAGATGCAAAGAGGAAGGGTGAGAGCAGGTCCTGAGGAAAATCAGCATTGTCTTTCATGGCAACTGCCTCAAGGGAGGTCATTACACTTTCCTCAGGCAATGCAGGGTTAATCCCTTCAGATGGGGATTGAAAGGCAGATGCCACTGCAGGTGAGGAGGCTGCTACCACTGGAGGTAGAGGTGTCTCTGCCACTGGGGTTGGGGAGACCACTTCCACTGGTAAAGAAAATTCATCTGAACTTACAGGCTCGATGTCCCCAGCTTCATCAGGGTCTTCCCACAAATCCCCATTTACGTTTTTTAGAATCCCATTCCTTCCCAATCAATACCCTCACTTTTAATAGTAGACACCCTACAAGGCTGGGAGTTCAATTTGCATTATAATTCAGCCAGTGGCAGAATGGAGCTCCACGTTTGATTTTCAGCAATTGCAGGAGCCCTGTCGTTGCAGGAGATAAAGGTCTCCTTTAAGGCACATATGAAAGTTCTTACATTATTTACATGACAGTTGAGATGGAATTTCAATCCCTAAACTCAACTTTTTTCTTTCACCACTTTGTTCAGCAACATTAGGTGCAACCAACAATGCCTTCATATTTGTTAGTTTTCCGGAAATGTTCAAAAATATCATATACACAGCCACTTCACTTCTTGCTTATTGTAAGTGGTTAATTGGGAGTATACAATGCAGATATTTTGTATATCTCTATAAACAATTCACACCATGGGCTATCAGTGCTCTCTTTACTACTGGAAATAGAGCCATTAACATCATTAAATCTAATCAGATTAGAAGGCCAGTTCCAGAAATCTCAGCCTCAATTTAGAAAACTCACCTTTAAATTTTTGTTCTTCTAATTCTGTTCCTCTAGGACAACTCATTCCCTGTATCATATGTGTATACATACATGGAGCGAGAGAGAGGTAATATGGGAATTGGGCCATGTGATTATGGGGGCCGAGATGTCCCACCATCTGCCATCTGCAAGCTGGAAATTCAGGAAAGCCAGAAGTGTTGTTCAGTTTGATTCTGAAGGTCTGAGAACCAGGGGAACCAGCAGTGTAAGCCCCAGTCCAATGGTCGTAGAAAATGAAATGAGATGAGATGTCCCAGCTCAGCAGTGAGGCAGAAAATAAAAAATGTATATACTTCCTCCTGCCTTTTGTTCTATGCAGGCCCTCAGTGGATTGAATGATGCCCAACTACATGAAGGAATAAAATCTACTCTATTGAGTCTACTTATTTAAATACTAATCTTGTCTAGAAACAACCTTACAGATACATCTAGAAATAATATTTAATCTGGGCACCCTGTGGCCAGTCGAGCTGATACATAAAATTACCCATCACAAAAAGTAAGATGTTTCTGCATACCAAGGAAAGATTTTTTTCTGAAAAGCAACAATGCTGTGTCTTTTCAGAATGATTGGAGTAAAACATTAAATTGTGTTCTGTGAAATGGACTGCATCAGCACTTGGGGGGCTGATTTCTGAGTCATTAACAGAAATGACGGAATTTGGGGTTTGAAGTTGGAAACCTTGAGTCATTTTCTTCCTCTGCAGACCATCAAACTTGTGATTTTAGTCCAGCTATTCTTACTGAACCACAGCTCTGTAACCCATAAAATGGGAATAACAAACTAGTTCATAGGATTTTGAGGCTTTCTAAGGCTTTGGTGGGATGCTGTATGGCCATCACTGAGCTAATCCTGGCTGGGCCATACAGAAAAGCACTGTGATTTGCTTTACTTGCCAGATTCCATTAGCTGCATTCAAACACCATTCTGGCTTGGAGGGACAGAAAAAGGCCTCCCTTGGTCATTTTATCTGATTCACTAAGGTTTCTCAAGCTGCTTCTCTAACTTTTCTTCTACAGGGTATAAATTTTGTGGTGATGCACATTGCTTAAGGTCTTCAAAGTGCTAAAGACTCTCTTGGTTTGGGACACATCAATGAAAACAGGTGGTAGTTCAGCTTTCCAGGGGAGGGGGGCTGATTAGAAAGATGGGAAATAATGAGAAAGAAAAATATCTTGAGTTGCAGGCAGAGTGTTTTAAAGGAGACAGAATTGATCATTTATCTACCTTTCTTGAAAAAGTCAAGATAATTAGAATAGATGTGTATTTAAAAACATGTATATACACACATATGTTTTAACACTGAGGCTTAGTTTAAATGAAGACTTACTTTGGAGAGAGGCCTCATAACTGTGCCAAGAGTAATTTGCATATTGGTACGTTTTATTTATGCAGCTTCATTTTTTGGCATTATCTCAGGAAAATCACTTGATTGACTCCTGCTCTGGTAAATGAAATCACACACAGTTCTTAACTTAATTTTTAAACCCATGTTAGCAGTAAAGATGGTTTTTATTCAACTACAAATGATCTTTCATAATTTGTAATGACTTGCCTCTTTAAGAAACATGGAGAGCTTCTTATGAATATTAGTAGCATTTTATTCTGTACTACTATGAAACTGCAGTGTAAGCAAAGACAGGCAAAGCACTGGGCATTTAAATGGAATCTAAACTTGGAACAGTGTGTCCACCCTGTTCTTTCTTTCTTTCTTTTTTTTTTTTTTTTTTGAGATGGAATGTTGCTCTTCTCGCCCAGGCTGGAGTACAGTGGCATGATCTCGGCTCACTGCAGCCTCCGCCTCCTGGGTTCAAGTGATTCTCCTGCCTCAGTCTCCCGAGTAGCTGGGATTACAGGCACCTGCCACCACACCCAGCTAATTTTTGTATTTTTAGTAGAGACAGGGTTTCACCATGTTGGCCAGGCTGGCCTCGAACTCTTGACCTCGTGATCCACCTGCCTTGGCCTCCCAAAGTGCTGGGATTACAGGTGTGAGCCACTGCACCCAGCCCCACCCTGTTATTTCATATGTGCTGTGTGCATCCCTACCCCCACACACTAGTCTGCAAGTGTAGTGGGGTAAAAAGCAGTTTTAACTATATAAGGAGTATGTATGATTACTTTGAGCATAATAATTTGTATTTTCATAAGCCAACTCATTCAAAATAGAATGTACTAACTTTTTTCTCATCTTTGACCACGTCCTCACCAGTCACACCACCTAAATCATAAAGTCTTATCACTTCTACTGTTCCTCCACCCCACTAATCTGTCTCCTCATTTTCAACATCACACCCCACACCCTGCTACCTGAACTCCCTGCTCCTGCACTCCCCTACCCATGGATTCTGAACTGGGGCCACAGCAGAGTGCCTATCTGAAGAGTTCACGGGTCTGATCTTGTCTTTCCCAGCTTAAAGCGTGTAAGGGCTGAAGACCTTTCGTCCCTACAGTAGGAGCTTGTTAGGGTTGGGCTGACAGGGCAACATCACACCTGGGAGATGTGCCTTACAGTAGAAAAGGAATCACAGGTGGAGAGCCAGGGAGAGAACCAGCCAGATTCACAAGCTGCATGCAGTGCCTTCGTCCCCTTGTCAGCAAAATGCGTGAAAGAAGCTCCCACTGGAGTCAGGCAAGCCCCACTTGGAGCTTCTTCTGGTGACTTCCTGTCATGAATGTTGGCCCCTCAGCAATGCCCCACCTCCCAGGGGTGAACTGAGAGGAAGGTTCTTCTAATAGCCAAGGCGGTGAGAGGGGCCAAGTGGGATCAGAGGACCTACTCTGTGTAGACGAACACCAAGTCTGAATAGTCTTTCTGTGGGTCCAGTTTGTTTTACTTTATATTCATATATACTTGTACATGTGTAAATATATTATAGAAAGATATATAGAGATATTGATGTAGATATATAGATATCGAATGGATGTAGGTCTAGCTACATAATATATTTAAAACTCAGGTAATTATCCATGCAGCTTTCATACAGATAGTTGAATTTGATATGTCATAAAGTATATTTATTAATTATTCTTTAAAACGTTGGGTTTTCATAATCACAGTTTTGATATCTCTACCACCGTGGAGGTCTGACTACTGACCCCTGGTCTGCAATTTGACACATGTGTTTGCAGGTTTCGTCTGTCAACTCTTCACTATAGAAAACACATATATTCTTTTTTAAGAGTGAACCTAGAAGGGTACAAACGTGAAGCAAATACCCTCTCCTCCTCTCACTTCCTTTCAAGTTAGGCCTGTGAAATGACTATTCCCTTCCCTTTTAAGGCATTTGGTGCTGATGCCCCAGTGAGTTGGCCAGCTGTTACAAGTCCAGTCTCACAGAGTCTCATAGGGCTTATGTATTCAGCTGATCCCTGATTTGAATCTTGCCCCTCTCTCACCCCCAAGTTTAGGCTTGAGGAATGTAGAGGGGAGAGGTGGCTGCCCTTCCACTCCCCTTCCCCACTCCTTGCTTAGGTGGAGATGGAGGACAAAGCACTCCTCATGCTTCCTGGAGGCCTCGCCCGCTTATTACTGGGAAAGCAGAGGGAGTAAGGGAAGAGGAACGCAAGTCCTCTCTCCCCTCTGCCTTGGTGTTCCCTTCCTACGGGCCGTTTCAGACAGCCACGGAGGCCCACTCTGTGGCAGGCATGAGTCCTTGGGGGCCCTCAAGTAGGGCTGACTGGGTCAGGGCCATTTCGTCAATTCTTGGCAAAAGGTGTCAGTACAAGGATCTTGCTTTGTAATAATGTGGGCCATTGAGCTTTCTCTCCATGATTCTCCCACTTTATGCTAGGTCTAGAGTAAGAGGAAAATCTCAATTAAAATTATGTATAGGGAAAATATTAGAATATTTATGAAGATGAGTATAGCATTTCTAGAATTGTGGGTAGTTTTAATTCTCCTCCTATTGTTTCATGTTTTGCATGTTTTCTAAAGGGCATGCAGTATCTTTATAATCAGATAAAAACTTTAAAAAAAATAGTAGTCTTCCAGTTCTGGACAACATAGAGTTCAATTCTTCTTGCTAAGTACAAATATAAACCCTGGACAAAATAACAGGTAACTGTCAGAAGATTCTGAAAAGATGGGCCAGGGACCTGAGGACTTGAGGAGCCACCTGATTTGTTTTGTCTTTTTTTTCATTTTGTCATATCCCCTATCTATTCTAGCCTGGGCTCTAAAAAAGTCCACAACCCAGAATTGCCAGCCTGCACAGACAAAAGACCTTACTCCACAGCAAAGGCCTGGAGGAGGTAGCCCTGTACACAGAGCCTTCTAATGACACTCCCCACCTTAGACCAGCATCCCAGGTCCCAGTTTCCATCTATCTTCAAGTTCATGTTTCCATCCTATCTTTAATGCAGGCTGCCACTCTTTTCTGCTACTGAGACGCAATCCCATGGACAACTGGTGGGGTGGGGTGCACAGGAAACACTAAGCCTCCTGCTGAGCTATGGCTATCATGTGCTTTAATTTTTCTGGACTGGGATTTGATTTGTATTTTAAAATCTTACTTTATTCAGTGGCAGCAGAAACCCAACTGTGTGTTACTTCTCAGTTTGCTCAGTTAACTTTGGCTTTCTTCATTAATTCTGGGTTTGCTCCACCCACTCTCTCACAGGCATTCAAACTGTGATGTGCAGTACAGGGAACATGCAAATTAAGGCCTCAGCTGGACCTCAGCCATCATCCCTGTGCCTCTCATCCTCTGGCCCACTGGCACTGTCCTCCATATGGGATATTCAGAGAGGTTCCAGTTTTCATCCTATCTTTAATGCAGACTGCCAGTCTTGTTTGCTACTGAACCTCAATCCCATGTTCAACCTGGTGGGAGGGCGCACCAGAAACACTAACCCCACTCTGGGCTCTTAGGAAATGACCTGTTTCTGCTCTGCAGCCTTATGAACTTGCTGCATACAGGGCTCAGTGGTGCAGTGCGCTCTGCAAGGCCTGTGTTCCACCCAGAGCCACAGATAGAAAGTGGTCCTGGGGTCTCCACTCTCAGATCTGAAAGCTCTAGTGTTTCTAGGTCATCTGTGACATGTGTTTCCTTAGGGACGGAGGTTGAGTACCCCAGCTTCCCAGATCAGGAGAGACACATAGAAAAGAGTTCAAAACATCGTGTTGCAAGGATTCTGCCTGCCTCCCTTTGTGCCATTATCTTGTTTATATGTTAATTAATATTAATACAGTCCCAGTATTACTGAACTTTTGTATCACAATTTCTATTTTTCTTTAAGGTTATGCTTAACCTGTTTTTTGGGAATTTAAAAATTCAAAATTTATGAGATACATGAAATTTAATTTAAATATATAAAATACATAAAAATTTTTAACTTATGCCTTTGGATTAAAAAATATAGAGAAACGATTTCATTAGATAGTGTTTTCCCATGAGTTGATTCAAAAAGCATGGTAACACTGCAGAATAAGTGAGCTTTTCTAGTTTGAAAATAATGTCTGGTTGGTATCTGAGAGTTTTTAGAATACACCTAAGCGCATCCAAATTGCAGTGCAGTTTTTCATTATGATATATATATATATATATATATATATATATATATATATATAAAATACATTTTATGAAACTAGCAATAGAAACACACTTTCATGAAAAATTTAGTGGTCAAAATTTTTAAAAGAAAATATCGTGAATTTTCATACAACAGATGCCATTTTAGGTTGATTTAGTTTATTTTCTATAACTCAAAAATTTTAAAGGCTATGAATAGCTGAAAGCATAAAAATAACACCCTATAATATGCACCATTTAATACAATTCTTTTTACAATTCAGTTTTCAATTTTTAATTTTTTTTTATTTCAACAGGTTTTGGGGAAGCAGATGGTGTTTGGTTACATGGATAAGTTCTTTAGTGGTGATTTCTGAGATTTTGGTGCACCCATCACTCAAGCAGTGTACACTACACCCAATGTGTAGTCTTTTATCTCTCACCGCCTTCCTACCATTTCCCCTGAGTCCCCAAAGTCCATTTTATCATTCTTATGCCTTTGCATCCTCATAGCTTAGCTCCCACTTATGAGTGAGAACATACGGTGCTTAGTTTTCCGTTCCTGAGTTACTTTACTTAGAATAATGGTCTCCAATTCCACCCAGGTTACTGCAAATGCCATTATTTCATTCCTTTTTTAGCTGAGCAGTATTCCATGGAATATATACCATATTTTCTTTATTCACTAATTGATTGATGGACATTTGGGCTGGTTGCATATTTTTGCAAGTGCAAATTGTGCTGTTATAAACATGTGCGTGCAAGTATCTTTTATATATAATGGCTTCTTTTCCTCTGGGTAGATACCCAGTAGTGGGATTGCTGAATCAAACAGTAGATCTGCTTTTAGCTCTTTAAGAAAACTTCACGCTGTTTTCCATAGTGGTTGTACTAGTTTACATTCTCACCAACAATGTAAAAGTGTTCTCTGTTCACCACATCAATGCCAACATCTATTATTTTTTGATTTTTTTTTATTTTGGACATTCTTGCAGGAGTGAGATGGTATCGCATTGTGGTTTTGATTTGCATTTCCCTAATCATTAGTGATGGTGAGCATTTTTAAATTTGTTTTCTGGACATTTGTATATCTTCTTTGGAGAATTGTCTATTCATGTCTTTGGGATTGTTTGTTTTTCTCTTGCTGATTTATTTGAGTTCCTTGTAGATTCTGGATATTAGTTATTTGTTGGATGCATAGTTTGAGAGGATTTTCTCCCATTTTTTGGGTTGTCTATTTACTCTGCTAACTATTTCTTTTGCTGTGCAGAAGCTTTTTAATTAAGTCCCATCTATTTATCTTTATTTTTGTTGTATTTGCTTTTGGGGTCTTGGTTGTGAAGTCTTTGACTAAGCCAATGTCTGGAAGACATTTTCCAATGTTATATTCTAGAATTTTTATGGTTTCAAGTCTTAGATTTAAGTCTTTGATCCATCTTGAGTTGATTTTTGTATAAGGTAACAAATGAGTATTCAGTTTTATTCTTCTACATGTAGCTTGCCAATTATCTTGGCACCATTTTTGAATAGGGTGTCCTTTCCCCATTTTATGTTTTTGTTTGCCTTATCGAAGATCAGTTGGCTGTAAATATTTGGCTTTATTTCTGGGTTCTCTGTTCTGTCTCATTGGTCTATGTGCGTACTTTTATACCAGTACCATGCTGTTTTGGTGACTGTAGCCTTATTGTATTGTTTGAAGTTGGGTCATGCGATGCCTCCAGATTTATTCTTTTTGCTTAGTCTTTGTTTGGCTATGTGGGCTCTTTTGTGGTTTCATATGAATTTTAGGATTTTTTTAGTTATGTGAAGAATGATAGTGGTATGTTGATGGGAATTGCACTGAATTTGTAGATTGCTTTTGGCAGTATGGTCACATCAACGATATTGATTCTACCCATCCAGGATCTTGGGATGTGTTTCCATTTGTTTGTGTCATCTGTGATTTCTTTCAGCAGTGTTTTGTAGTTTTCCTTGTAGAGATCTTTCACATCCTTGGTTAGGTATATTCCTCTTTTTTTTTTTTTTTTTTTTTTGACAGCTATTGCAAAAAAGGTTGAGTTCTTGATTTAATTCTCAGCTTGGTTGCTGTTGATGTGTAGCAGTGCTTATAATTTATGTACATTGATTTTGTATCCTGAAACTTTACTGAATTCATTTATCTGTTCTAGGAGCTTTTTGGATGAGTCTTTAGGGTTTTCTGGGTATATAACCATATCATCAGTGAACAGCGACAGTTTGACTTCCTCTTTACTGATTTGGATGCCCTGTATTTCTTTCTCTTATCTGATTGCTCTGGCTAGGACTTCTAGTATTATGTCGAATAGAAGTGGTGAAAGTGGGTTTTCATTTTGTTACTCACTGATGGCATACAAAACCATATAGATATAGAGATAAAGTCATAAATACACACGGATGTGAATTCCCCAATTTATGATCAACCAATTAACAAACACACCACACACATGCACAGTCAGCATGTGGCTTTGCTGTTTCTAAGCAGAGAGTGAGAATCTCCTGTTTTCTCTCTAGGCCCCCCACCCACCAATCAAGCTTTTGTTCTATACTCTAGGTAATTTCCTCTCTGGACATCAAATCCTATTTCCTGGAGAAGCAGCAGGGTTTTTGTTTCGTTTTGTTTGTTTTTGTTTTTGTTTTCATTTTTTCGTGATACCTTGAGCACAGTTGAATGACCAAGAAAGGTTGGCCATTTACTAAATAATTGCTTTAGGGTTTGACCCAAAGTTTTAAAATCCAAAACTGAGATCAAAAGTGAGGCCTACTGCAGATGTTCATGCTGTGAGGGGTGATGAACTGGAGACACTGGGGGACATGTCACCCAGAATTTGCCCTCATGTGGGCTGCAGAGAAGGAGAATGATGCCACAGACAGAGAGAAGGGAGAAAGAAAGGGACTTAGTGTTAGTTGAGTTCCTGGGTCACTCACTATTCCTGAGACTTTGTAGCACTATTTCCCTCCACATATGTGGATGTTTCAACACTCTCCTGGCTGTAATGAGATTCTTTAGTATCACTCTGATGAATTCTTTTTTTTTTTTTTTTTGTCTAAGCTGGTACAACATGGATTTCTATCACTTACAACCCTCAGAATCCTAACTGGTATAAAACTAGAGGGCTTGTTTCCTGGACTTAGACCCTTTGAGCTTGAATCCTGGGTCTGCTACTTATAAAACTTGCTACGATAAACAGTTTCTTAACCTCTCAATCTTCTCATCTTTAAAATGAAGAACATAATGTTATGTCACTTGCTGAGAGTGTGAAATGAGATGATGTCTATAAAGCCATTAGCACAGAGTCTAGCCCAAGGACCAAGGCCATCAGCACCCCAAGGAGAGGAGTTTTATAGAACTTGCCCATAAATTTTATATCTTCAAATACACACATGCATACAAAAGCTAGAAGGAAGACAAAAATGCTCTCCCTTACAGAATAGACCAACTCATAAATTTAGAAAAAAAAATAGAGCATAAAAATCACACCTTTGCAATGATGATATTAAGGAGTGAGGCAAGCAGCAGGCAGCAAGGAATGGTGATGAACAGGATAGTTCTGTAGTCTCGAAGCATCTCATCACAAATGACTTGACAATCACAATGGTAAAAACTCAAAGTGCAAAAACGTCTCAGCCTGCATCGCAATCAAGTGATGGAAGGGAACACCCCAATCATAAAGCAAGCTGACATCAGGACTCACCTGGAATGATGCAGTGAGGACACAGCCTCCCTTTGTGGCAGCCCTGACAAAGACGCACAGCTGAAATCTATCTTGAAGAAACAATAGACAGACCCACACTGAGATACATTCTATAAAATAAATGGGCTCTCTGCCTCTAGATGTTTCATGCCATGAAATACAAAGAAAGGCTGCCATACATTTCAGACTGAAGGAGACCAGACACATGGAAACTGTGATTCTTGATCAGACACCAGAACTGGGAAAGACAACTCTAGACAATATAATTGTGACAACTGTTGAAATTGAATAAGATCTGCAGATTAAAGAACAGTATTTCATGGATATTAAATTTCCTGATTTTGATCAGTATTGTGGTTCTCTAAGAGAGTGCCCTTGTTTGTAAGAAATTCTCACGAAAGTTTTCAGGAGCCAGGTGGCTTGATGACTGTAGCCTGATTTCAGATAATTCAGACAAAACAACATATACATAAGTAAATGTGAATGTGTTCGGGGACAGGGAGTGAAAGATACAGTACACGAGGCCAAATGTAAACAACTGGTGAATCTGTGCATAGGGAATGCAGAAAAATTGTGTACAATTCTTGATTTTTTTTGGGGGGGTGGGTAGAGTCTCACTCTGTAGTCCAGGCTGGAGTGCAGAGGCACAATCATGGCTCACTGTAGCCTCAACCTCTAAGGCTCAAGTGATCCTCCCACCTCAGCCTCCCAAGTAGCTGGGACAACATGCATGTGCCACCTTGCCAAGCTAATTTTTGCATTTGTTGTACAGATGGGGGTCTCACCATGTTGCCCAGGCTGGTCTGGAACTCCTGAGCTCAAGCAATCCCCCCATCTCGGCTTCCCAAAGTGCTAGGATTGTAAGTGTGAGCCACCACACCCAGCCAAAATTTTTAATAAATTAGGAATTTTCTTTTTTTTTCGAGATGGAGTCTTGCTCTGTCACCCAGGCTAGAGTGCAGTGGCATGATCTCGGCTCACTTCAGTCTCCGCCTCCCGGGTTCAAGAATTCTCCTGCCTTATATGAAAATAAGAAATTACAAGACATTAAAAGGTATACGTACTTACAGATGCTGTTTAACTTATGATGAGGTTACATCTTAATAAACCCATCTTAAGTTGAAAATATTTTTAAGTCAAAGATGCATTTAATACACCTAACTCACTGAGCATCATAGCTTAGCCCAGCCTGCTTTAAAGGTGCTCAGAACTCTTATATTAGCCTACAATTTGGCAAAATCATCTGGCAACACAATACTTTGTAGAGTGTTGGTTGTTATCCTTATGATCACAGGGCTGACTGGGAGCTGGACTCAGTCTGGCAGCAACAGGGACAATTCACCTGGAGGTCATGTCTGAGCTGAGACTGGGAGACCACGGAGAAGGCAATCAGGTGAGGAAGGCCAGGGAAGGCAATGTGGGCAAGAGCCAGGGTCAAGAGACAGGAAGACACCTGTGAGCAAATGTCAGTTGCTCCTTAGGGCTGGAGGATAATATCAGACATCGTCTTTAAGCTTTACGGGTATACAATGAGCAGATCTTGAAAAAAGTCAACTTTTGAGTACATGAAGACAAAATAGCTTTAAAATTTATTTGGAGTAACTCTAATAAAGTCAAAATAGATTTTTTAAAATACAGCAAATATTACGTAAGTGTGATGCCCTTATTATTTTTAGAGCTCACAGAAGTTGATAAGAGAAACATCAGACCCCCAGTAGGTAAAAAGATTTACGTAAAAAAAGAGAAAAATATACAAACTGTAAGGAAACAAACAAGAAAATATACTATTCAGTTTTGAATAAACTTCTTTCTCTGCAAATGCAAAAAGAAGGCCAAGTAGGTATCTCCAAAAAATGTCTCTAGGCTCTCAATAATAAAAGATAATAAATGTGTTAATCAATTGTAAACCAAAAATAAAATTCTAAGCCCAGCAACCAACTAAATGGACTAACACCCTTAGCCAAAGGCATTCCAAAGTAAACTGGAAAAACTAATTCAAGCCATGATGGGAAGAGATGGTTAGACATTCCTCATTATACCCTCCACCCTTTGGAATTCAGGCACAACTGACCAGCATTAGCATTAAAACAGAGACCCTCAGACTGAAAAAACAGACTGTAGCAGTAAGATACTAAATTGCAACCTGACTTGGGTGTAAGATCACATGACAGATAGCAAGTCCTGAAAGAAATTGAAGTATTTCATCCCAATATATATTTCTTTGACCTATGTTTAAATGGCCCTACAAAGCTGTGCCTTGTGGGGGAATTTTACATTCCGTAGAGAATCTCCTTCCCTTACTAGATCTTTTCAGGAAAGTCTAGCACCTTTTAAGATCTCTTGAGACAACATTTGCCATCTATTATCTCTGATGCCTACTACCTAGAGGCTTCACTTGCAGAACAAGAACCTGAAATTCCACAGCCCTCTTATCTTAACCCCAAGCATATATTTCTGCTGACTTCAACTCCTTAGACAAAACTTAACTCTTTTAACCTATTGCCAGTCAGGAAATCTTTGAATCCCCCTGTGACCTGGAAGGTCTTTCACCCTCTTCTAGATGTCCCATCTTTCCAGACTGAACCTATGTATACCTTACATATAATGATAGATGTCATCCTATAACTTTTACCCCACTAAAATATATGAAATCAAGCTATGACCCAACCACCTTGAGTACATGTTCTCAGGACCTCCTGAGGCTGTGTCACAGGCATGTCTTTAACCTTGGCAAAATAAACTTCTAAATTAATTGAGATTTGTCTCAGATAATTTCTGGTTTATGTAATATATGTAAAAATAAGAAAAATATGAAATTGCATTTAGGCAGTCAAAAAACTTGGGAGGGGAATAAATACAAATTTTAATATTAATCACTGTGTGGTAAGTTATTATTTTTATGTTCTTTCTGCTTTTCTGTATTTCCTAAAATATCAACCAAATTTAAATATTATGTTTTAAATGAGAAAGATAGTGATTGATTTTAAGGCCCTTTTCACCTGATTTGCCTTTTTCGTTGTAATTTTTTTAACTAGCATGTCGATTTAATTTGTAGGCAGTTTCATTATGATAGGAAATCCAGTTATTTGCCAAAAATGTCAGAAAATGGCACATTTTAAAAATAGCATATTTTAATAAATAGTTGTTTTTCTGTGTTTTTTTGTTTGTTTTATTTTGCTTTGTTTTGTTTTAATAAGTTTGTTTTAACAAGAGACCTTGACACAGGGTGTCTTTCTGTCACCCAGGTTGGAGTGCAGGGGTACAATCATAGCTCACTGCAGCCTCGATCTCCTGGGCTCAAGCAATTCTCCCACCTCAGCCTCCAGAGTAGCTGGGAATTTTAGGTGCATGCCTCCAAGCTTGGCTAATTTTTTACAATCTTTTGTAATCACAGGGTCTCACCATGTTGCCAGGCTGATCCTGAACTCCTGGGTTCAAGTGATCAGCTTGCCTCAGCCTTCCAAAGTGCTGGTATTACAGGTGTGAGCCACCATGCTCAACCCTGATAGATGTATTTTGGAGCAACTTAGATGTGGGTATAAGAGCAGAATGTCTTTTAGAGAAACAACTATGTAACATATTTCAGGCTAAATACCTTTATTCTGGATTAATTCTGTAGGGCTTCTTCAGCTCTTACCTGTGTTTTATCCCAGAACACAAACCCTTAACCTCTTCTTGAGTAATAAAATGAAACTTACAGAAAGAGGAACTCTGTTTAATGTAGGCATTCCTTCACACTGGTGGGCCGAGGAAGTTTCATTCTGCTGGCAAAATGTGGATTTCTGGTTTCAATTTTTAAAATATGAAGGATTTAGAGAACTATTCTCAGAAATCTGGCATGGGCTTAGGAGGGAGTGAACATTGGGAGCGCTGTGCCTGTGAGACAGCAAGCTCTAACATGGAATTCCTGAGTGGAGAATTTAGTTAAGGAAGGGCACTAAACAGCAGCCAATTTGGTAAATAAAGTTTTATTGGAACACAGCCATGTTCATTCCTTCATGGATCATCTATGGCTGTTCCTGTACTAGAAGAGCAGAGTTGAGTGGTTGCAATAGCAACCTTATGGCCTAAAAAGCCTACAACATTTACTATCCAGCCCTTTGTATTTATATTGCTAGCTCTGTGCTAGCCAGTTTCTCCAGGTGCCTCTCTTTAACTTGATGATGTTTTTACTTTTTACTCTTACTGGCAACTTTTGTTTTTAACAACAACAAAAACAGAAGTAAAGACTTCACTAACACTTTTGTTCTATCAGGTTTATAACCAGCTCAGAAATTTACCTTGGGCAGGAAATGCCATTACTGATACAAAATTCAGACACCGCAAATTTCAGAAAAATAGTACATTTAGCCATTACAATAGTGCAGCTTTATTTACACAGACATTGGTAGGCTTTTCTGTGAATACACTGTGTACGGGAAACAAGAACATAATTTCCATGATACAGGAATCCATCCACACAAACCAAGTAAAATTTATGGTCAGAGAAATGCTCTTTCTAGGAAGTCAATATTATGAAACAGGTTTGATATCAACAACAACATTCATGCTGCCAGATTTCTTTGTTTTGTCCAGTGTTTTCATCTAAGAAGGTCAAAGCAACCTTAAGAATTTCAAGATTTCCAAACACCTCCATAAAGAGCAAAAGAAGCAACTGTGAGTTGGATAAAAGCAACCTCCAGGAGAATGAACATAGTGGGAGCCCTCTCGGCCTTTGCAGACACTCACTCTATAGCTCAGGTTTTCTTGTATATGTCCCAGGCTCATTATCAAACTGTTCTCTGGTTTCACAGCAGTTTTCTCAGGTTATCAGGGCATGTGTTAATATCACTATGACTTTTTGGTGATGATGGAATTCATCCTTCATGTTCTCCTTTGTCAGATAATTAAAAAGCTGGATATAACTTGGAGAGATCCAGCTCTCTCAAGCTCTACAGTGGCTGAGGGGTTGGGTCCAATGGCTACATGCTGCTTCTTTCCTTTATCACCTCCTAGCTGTGTGAGCCCAGGTAGATAATAATCCATCTGTTCCACAACGTCCTCACCTGTGAAATGGGAATAATCACGCATTGAATGTTTCATATGCTTAGTGTGTGTCAGGCTTAGCAGAATGCCTGGCACACAGCAAGTCTTCAAGATACATTAGACTTGGCTCACATCTGGACAGCAAGCTCTCTTTTGATATGTATCCAATCAATTCTGAAAACTCTAAGCCATCTGTAAGAATTGCTTTTTCTTCATCAAATTGAATTGACTTGTCTCCATAAGTATTTTGATTGTGAATAGGTGATTATATAAAGTTATATGCACTTCTCCTAACAATTAATGATTCAATTGTAAAGTAGATCATCACAGAAAATTATTTTGAGGATTGAATCATGCTCCATGTGTACAAGCAAGAAATAATGTTCAGCTTCATAGAAGAAAGAGCACTAAAGTTTGAGTGAGAAGGTACCACTTATTAATTCTGAGGAAGCTATTTCTCTAGTCTCTTTTTTGCAATTGATAAAATAGAGATGATCATCACTTCATAGGATTGTTGTGAGGATTAAATAATTATGTGAAAGTCCTGCAATTAGGCTCTGGCTAATTGTTGGCTACTGTTGAGTCGATCCATTACTACTCATGATCTTTCACAAATAATGCCACATGTTTAAATTACAGAAAGTAACAACTTCATCTCACCTACTGGGGTACCAAAAAAAGCACTTGTTGTTTAATATGCAAACTATATTACCCCAAGCCCAAAGTTCATCCATCAAGGGTATATCACCCTTCCCATTATAATTCCAAGAACCATGAATCTGTCATTCTAAGAGGTCAGATCTGGTTGTTATTGCCTCTGAAAAACTGGAATTTTCTTCTTGGGAGGAGATCCCATCATTCCAGCCTATGGGCTGTTACTATTTCAGGAGGTGTCTATTTTTTTTCTCCTTTTCTATCAAAAGTAGCCCAATTTAAAGGGCTATGTTAAATTTCAATGTTAACGTATTAACCATCAATTATGTTTTCAAATATCTGAATTTAATGTTGTAGAGTTATCCCCTCAGAGGTGGATTTCCAGTGAAACTAGTGAAGCTGAAGCTTCAGGTTCTTGCACTTGTATGAACCCCTTCCAAGGCCTTGGCAGTGTGTTCATATGGTCATGTATGACCTGTAAATTTGTACAAGTAAGTTATTTTGATAACAATTGGTTAAGGTTCCATGTTTGCCCTCGTGTAAGATGGCATGGGAGTAGTTTGCAGGCATTTTTGGAATCTGGTTAATGGGAAGTTAAATCATTTTTAGTTTAGGTGTAGTAAGATATATTTATATGGCTCATAGACACTGTCATATGTATAACGAAGTTATTGCAACGTGACCTAGTGTGGAATAGCTTCCAGGCATACTTCTTCCTCCAAAGTACGAACTCACCTAGCATTGTTATGCAAAGATACAGTACAACATTCCTATCACAATATGATTACAATCCAGCAGTCAGCACTGCAAGCAGGTGAGTAGTGTAAAGGAAACACTGTTTGAAGTATCCAGAGCCGGATGCTTATCTGAAAGAGTCTTCCAACCATCAAGCAGATAATGCTGAGCTGAGGATTTGGTTCTCATCTGTACAAAGAAGCTCTCTCCTAAGAGGGATAGACCAGTGATGAAGCCTGCATGTTTATAAAATGCATTAAGATTACTTTTTTCATTTTGATGGTAATTTATGCAAAATATAATTTTATCAGGATTCTGTGTTTTTAGGGCACAGAACTACACAGGATGTCACTCTCTGAACACTTATGTCTCATATACATCTAACAGGTCAGTTCTAAAATATCTTGTTCTGAGAATGTCTGGGAATTCCAGGTGAAAGGGTGTGTGAAATTACCCCAGTGTAGTCAAACAGGCTGAAGACACAGGTACATCAGTGATAATGATTGTGCACATCTTCATGATAAAGTTGACACATGTAACACAAGAATAATTCAATTATACAATGATTTTCAACATAGCAAAAATTCTATATTGCACATGAATTGCTCTGAGAATAAACAAGTCTGCAAGCAAAAATATATGAAAAGGTATTCTAGAATTATGTTAGGAAGTATGTTTTGTTATTTTCTGGACATTGTGATATTTGTGGTATTTGTCATTTTTTTAATTTTTAAATTTGTGGTTTTAGTTCCCGTATTCTAATGAAATACCTATTTTCATATTTAACTATATATATTATTTTATTTTATTTTTTTCTTCATGAGGGACCTTAAACAAAATAAGTTTCAGATCCCAGAGTACTGGACTGGCCCTTGTCTCTATCCACCCATCATTGATGGGGAAGAAACTTTTCCCACTGAGGAGTCATTTTATTTTCTCTGAATGAAGTGAAATGGAGTAAAACTTGATCAGAAAGTTCTTAGCTCACTAATCATCAGGCAAATGCAAATTGAAACCACAGTGAAATATCACCTCATACCTGATAGAATGACTATTATAAAAAGGCAAGAGATAAGAAGTATTGGCGAGTATGTGGAGCAAGGGCAATCCCTGCACACTTTTGGTGGGAGTGTAAATTGCTGCAGCCACTTTGGAAAAGTGTATGGAAGTCACTCAAAAAATTAAAAATAGAACTACCATATGATCCAGCAATCTCACTTCCAGGTATATACCCAGTAAAAATAAAAATGAAATCAGTATCTCAAAGAGATGCACCCCCATCATTGCAGCATCATTCACAATAACCAAGATACGGAAACAATCTAAGTGCCCATCAGTGAGTGAATGAATAAAGAAATTGTAGTGTATTTATATACAATGAAATATTATTCCACCATAAGAAAAGAAGGAAATCCTCCTATTTGCCACAATATGGATGAACTTGGAGGACATTACACTAAATGAAATTATTTCACTTGTATGTGAATACACATACAATGACAAATACTGTGTGTTCTCACTTACATGTGGAATACAAAAAGTTGATCTCAGAAGCAAAGAGTAAAACAATGGCTGACAAGAGCTGGAATGGGGGAGTGAATGGGGAGATGTTGGTCAAAGGGCTGAAACTTTCAATTATAAGATGAATAAGTTCTAGTGATCTAATGTACAACATGGTGGCTATAGGTAATAATACTGCATTGTTTATTTGAAGTTTAATTATAGAGGAGGTGTTAAGGTCCTCACTCCCCTACACACACACATAGATACAGTGTTAACAATGGGTGGTGGTAGATGTGTTAATTAGACTGAGGTAATCAGTACACAATGTATATCAAATCATCACTTTGAATATATACAATTTTTTTAAAATGAGAAAAGACATTTCTTAGCTGACTATATCATACTTGATTCATGGAATAGAAAATGAGTGAAAATTTTTAAAGAGCTATGTTTAGTGCCTGCCTAGTTTTTCTAGAGTATTGTGTCACCCCTGGTACACAGTAAGTGCTCATTGTTTGCTTAACTAAAATATTGACTTAAATGGGATGTTTTACCACCTTCATTATTAATGTGCCTCTTGATAACACTTGGTATGTTGTATTAGTCTGTTTTCATGCTGTTGATAAAGACGTACCAAGATTGGGAAGAAACAGAGGTTTAGTTGAACTTACAGTTCCACATGGCTGGGGAGACCTCAGGATCATCGTGGGAGGTGAAAGGCACTTCTTACATGGTGGTGGCAAGAGAAAATGAAGAAGATAAAAAAGCAGGAACCCCTGATAAAACCATCAGATCTCATGAGACTTATTCACTACCACGAGAACAGTATGGGGGAAACCATACCCATGATTCAAATTACCTCCCACCGGGTCCCACCCACAATATGCGAGAATTATGGGACAACAATTAAAGATGAGATTTGGGTGGGGATACAAAGCCAACCCATATCATATGCCTTGACTCTAAATTAACCAAAATTAAATTCAAATAAAGTTATGTTTTCCTCTTTAAATTATAAGTTTTCCTCAACAGCAATTGAATTGTTTAAAGATAGTGTTGGGACAAAAATTTTAAATAAGAAATTAATCTTCCTATCAGAATTACAGAATGTCACCTCTAAAGGGAGCCCCAGAAATCACCCTCATTCCACAAAGTGTGAAATTTGGCCTGGGAACAGGGAGAGACAGGCCTAGGTCTCCCAGTGGATACTGATTAGGACAAGGAAAAAACTATACTTTCAGAAGTCTTCCCCCTTCCCCCTTCAGTATTCTTTATTGCAAGATCATGCCCTTTCTCCATTCCCTTTAATTATTGGGCCTCATTTTCACTGTAAGCAAGTGGTCCTTTTAAGACAACATGGCCTGATATTTGGTCCAGAAAATATGTCCATTGTAGTAGTAATTGCAGGGAAAGAAAAACAAATTATCTTCTTATTTGGCCTGCCTTAAACACAGATATTCTAAAATGTTTGCCAGAAAATCCATTAGATAGGCAATTCCAACCAATTTCTCAGATCAAGTTGAAAGAAAGAAGTCAAATATTTACTTACTTTTCCAGCCAAAACTCTTGTCTCTGCTCTGCTAATGGTGTTCGAGATGCAGTGACTCCATTAATTTAGTTGGAAGAATTAATGAAAGGCATCTTGGTTTCTTCTGTTAAGATTAGAAAGGACTAAAACTGAATAAGTTACGAATATCCCTAAGGTCATTCCAGCACTAACTACCCAATGCTTCCAAATTTGTCCTCCAAAGAAAGGTTATTTTATCAGATGGCAATTAATGGGTTTTTTTACAGGTAGAAAAAACAAAATAACAAAACAAAACAAAAAGTATGGTTACTGAGTGCCTTCTGGAAGCTTCTGGACACTGGTGTTCAAGTGCAGGGGAAACTTGTCTTTAAGAGCCCACAAAATGGCAAAGATTGCAGGCAAACTTATTTTATTGCACGTCCAGCTATGAAAACCCCTTAAACAATGTTGCCCCTTCCCTTGCACCCACTCTCTGACCATGAATAAGACAATCCCCAGTGCCACATAACCCTGAGATTGGCCAGCCTGGAAGCCTGTACATCTTCCTTGAAGGGACGCAGACTCTATCCTGCAGAGAAAGGTTTAGATCCATAAATGCATAGAAGAACAAGGTTGTCCCTTCTCAGTGGTATTTGAAAAAGTGTCCCTTCTCAGTGGTATTTGAAAAAGTCAGAAAACTGAATAGGACTGAAATCACATGTCATTCCTATCAGCTCAAAGGGATCAACAGTGTGAATAGCCAGCCTGTTTGTGTTATGCCTAAAGAAAGCTTAAGTGGGCTGCTTCATCTTTATGGAAAATTCTCCTGGCTCCCACCCCTCCCTCTACTGACAGGCAGTCCCTACTCCCCAGGTGTCCTTTGTGGCCTTTTAAAAGACTTCCAGACACGTGTTTCCCCGTGGTTCCTGTGATGTGCTCTACATGTCATGTGGGATCCTGTACAAGTCTCTTGCAGCACAATTGACCTGAGCACATACTGTTCTATAATACATAACAATTACAAAAACCCACAACAGAAGAAGAAAGAGGAGAAATTGCCATGGAAAGGCTTCTCCTTCTTTATATACCAATTCTCCTCCCCAAGAGCCATGCCACCTTGGACTGGGAGTCCATCCACCCTTGAACTTCAAAGTTCAGCTATTTCACAAGTGGTCAACTCTTTCTTGGGAAAATCCCAAACAACCTCAGAGGGGATAGGTAAATGGAGTTTGTTTTCCAAGAGTCATGTGGTTTCCTCTGAGTCTGTCTTTGATTTATTTAATGATTCAAAAGATACCTTAAGTCTAACTTGCTGTGGAGAGATATTTATTTCTATTTCCCCCTCCCTCATCTACAAAAGCCCTAGTTTGTACCTTCCTCAGCATAAAACCATACATTCTGATAACTGAGAATTTTCTTGAAAAATTACCATATGTTATATACAATTTTTATTTCTCAGTTACACCTCAATAAAGCCAAGGAAAATAAATTTTAAAATAACTTTTAAAAATATAGCCTGATGTTATAAAGACAGTAGTATGTGCAAAATAAATATTATAAAAGTAGATTCTAGTTAGTAATGTTTAGAAATGATACTTTGAAACTGAAACCATTAGCAAACTTAAAAAAATGAAACCTGCTGACCTAAACAAGTGGATGCGTCATTCTTTTCTGGGTGGCAGTGTTGCAGAGCCTGCATTAGCACCACGTGGGCGAGAGCCTTGTCTTTCTTCTGCAGCAGGTGAAGCAGGCAGCGCTCTCAGGCGGTACTAAATCTAGAGTCCTTCGGGACCCACCCAGAGGTGCCATTTGGAGATGGTTGGTTCGGGGATGAGACAAAGGAAGTGGGGCAGGGAAGGGAGGGTCAGATAACTTGTGAAAGGAAAGATGACTGAGATTTGGGGGAAGCAGCAGCTGCAGGATTGTATCAAGCACCCCAGTATTGGGAGTTGGTGGTGCCAGCCATCAAAACAGTTGTGTGGCTGAGTCTTTGCTGGGCACATGGGATGTACCGCACACCAATAATTAGAATCACTTAGAAGGAGGCCTGGGGTGGAGGTGGTGCAAGTCCACCCCTGGAGATGTCTCCTAGAGAAAGTGTCACATGTGTGTGCCCAGAGACACATGTAGGCTGCCTCCAACTGCATGGCCTGTGTTTGCAAAATGGGAACCACCCCAGCGTCCATTGACAGTAGAGAAGATAATACATTAATGCACACATATATAATTGTATAGTGTGTTACTGAAAAATAAATGAAACCATGAAATAAAGAACTGCTACTTGCATCACCATAGGTAAATCTAAAACACTGAATATTAAAGGGTGGAAGCAGGCATCAAACAAAACATGCAATGAGACTATTTATGTAACAGTAGAAAACAGACAAAATGAAACAATCCATTATTTAAAAATGCATGCAAATGAGAAATTTTTTAAAACAAAAATAATTAACACAAAATCTAAGACAGCAGTTAACTCTAAGGAGAGAGGCACTCAGAGGGTTTCAAAGATGCCATCAGTGGATAAAGGCATGTCACTAGTCTTTTAACTATGCATACAAGCTACATACTCTATTTTATATGCCTTATATATTTCGTTGTTGGCTGGGTGTGGTGGCTCCTGCTGGTAATCCTAGCAATTTGGGAGGCCGAGGCAGGCAGATCACCTGAGCTCAGGAGTTTGAGACCACCCTGGGCAACATGGTGAAGCCCAATCTCCACTAAGATACAAAAAAATTAGCCAGGTGTGGTGGCACATGCCTGTAGTCCCAGCTACTCAGAAGGCTGAGGCATGAGAATCGCTTGGAAGCTGGAGGTGGAGGTTGCAGTGAGCTGAGATCGCACCACTGCACTTCAGCTTGGGTTACAGAGCGAGACTCCATCTCAAAAAAAAAAATTAGAAAAGGAAAAAATATAGATATATGTATATATTTCACTGTAACAAAGAAAAAGAGGAAAAGATTATTTTAAAAAAAAAACTGGGATCAGATAGCTCTTCCTAGCACTCATACTTAGTATTAGGGAACTGAGAACACTCAACTCCTCTGGTCCTTTACGTGTCACAAATAAAAACAAATAATACAAACAAAAGAAATATTAATTTTAAAAAGAAAAATATCTAGGAGTGAGTATACAGCAGAGCCCTGTGACTGACACCTCTCCCCTGTAGGTGGACTTTTCCAGCCAGGGATGATTCCTCCTGTTCCCCCATCTCCTAGTGAGCATTTATTGAATAAATTATAGAACAGTAAAGAGAGTCTTTTATTCTTTCCATAGATGGAATTTTCCCCAAAGAGGTAGGACTGATTCTTCCTGGGATGATTCTGGAGTAGAGAACTGGAGGGCGTGTGGACAGCAGGATGCAGGAGCAGAGGGCGTGGGGCTACAGGAGCTGCCGGCACAGCTATGCGGGAGATGCTTCCTGGCCAGCGCTGCCCTGGACCAGTTCCCTGGCTTCATCCCCGTCACTCGTGAGTGAGAAATTGTTAACTCCGGAAGGACAAACTCTGCAAGCACCAAAGCAAGGGCCGGCACAGGAGCAGAGGCAGGACAGAGAAGGATGTTCTCCAGCCAGGATAATGACGGTGAGCTTCTAGGGAAGATGAAGCCTCTAATGCCAGGCATGCCCCCATGGCAATGTGAGGGCCAGTGAGGAGGTGTGGGCTGCTCCTACCTACTCAGCTCTGCCATGCCCCTGCTGGGCAGAGTCTGCACCTTCTCGGAGTACCTTCCCTCTTGCACAGCATGGAGACACACCATTCCTAGGGCATGTGATTGCATTCATCCATTGAACCCAGATTTCCTTGTAAGGTGGGCAATTTGGGCACAGAGCACAAACTCTGGGGACAGATGGGTACCAAGTCCGTGAGACAGAGATAGGTGCCAAGCTCACTGCTACAACGAGTAGTAGCCTCAGCTATTCTCTCTCCTTCCCTTAGCTTGTAATATGTTTATTTATTTGAAAGAGGAAAAAAAATTATATCTTATATTCTTCAAAACTTTACATGGATCAAGACCCTTCAGTATAAATGCTTAAAATCTGTTCCATCTGTCCTCTTATTCTGTGATGACTATTTTCCCTCTCAAGAAATTATCCCTCGTGTCTAGCTAGGGGAAGGGCTCTACTGTACAAGGAAGGAAACTTACTGAAGCGTGCAAAGTCAGAAAAATAACACTTTAAATAGTACTACTTGGAAAAGTGAGAAATACTACTAGCCTGAGCCCAAATTAGAGCTTGGACCCATAGATGACTCATGGTTTGAACTTGCTGTTTTGCAGCCTAACGGGTGTTGGCCTTTTGTCTTAGTTTAAAGACCACAAATGTCTGCCAGACTGACCGTGGTTTTCGTTTTCTCATGAGATTCATACACCTAGAAATTAGAGACTATCAGAGCAAGAAGTTCCCTCTGAGGATGTCGAGTCCTTCTGAGCTTTGCTCTGAGTGATCTTGCATTTTGGTGCTCTGACAGTCTCCCCAAGGCCTGTGTCATGAGGAGACGCCAGGGCCAAGCAGAGACAGGATAAGGGAGAGCTGGGGCCACACATGCCTGAGGGGTTGTATTCATCTTTTCCGTTGTGGTCACATAGCAACATACAATTTAGCTTGAATAAATAATTCTGCCACTAAAGATGGTGTTGAAAACCATGGATCTCACAGATACTCTCAGATGGAAACAAAAACCCAGTGATTTGAATGGATTCCCCCAAATTCAAAACTTATGTGCTTTATCTGAGAGTGAGTAGCAAATGGTCATAGCTTCCCCAAACTGCAGACCAGTGCTCTTTGACCACATCACACCACCCTAGGTTACCCATTAGCCACAGCCTTTCTACTCAGCCCAACAAATGCCAGGGACCAGATGTGGGTAAGTATGCCTAAGCTCACCTCTCCAAGAAAAGGATAAGGAGTTTGGTTCAACAGCGTGATATTTTGGTATTGGGATTTTCTTGGATCTGGAAAATTCATTTCCAAAATGTCTCCCCCACAGAACTTTGAAGACGTAACACTGTCAGACCATGCCTTTGTCACAGGCACTGACTCCCCTTGGATGCTCCTGGAACAAGTATCCTAACAGCCTACAAACTTCAGGATGTTATGATCAGGCTTGGAATATCTTCCCTGTGATGTGGGATGCAGTTGTTCCCTTGATTCCTTCACAAGTCACATGGAGTGGAGGCCAACATTTCCTGTGATGCAAAACACAAGCTTGTTTGCATCATAGTTGAGGAGTCCCAAGCTCGGGGAACCCCGCTTTCAAAAACAGGCTAGAAACAAACTTACTGCCAATACTGGGAGAAGACATTATACTTATCATCCTGGACAGTAAGCAAACCAGCCCTTTGCTTCAGAGGGATACTCTGTGTCTATCTTCAGAGGCTGTCCCCTGTACAACCCTCTGTGAGAAGGCAGTCTAGAATCAAAGCTATCGGTGCTCACAAGATGAGCAGAAATATGAATGACCCTGGAGAATCATCTCCCAAGAACTCTGCCTGGCTTTTCCGAGGTTTAGCTTTAATAGTTTTAACACGTGTTTCCTCTGCATCTAAAGGTTATCAAATCATGTAAGGACTTCCAGTATATTAGCATCTCAATTACACTTGCCTCTTTTAACCAGAATTATCACAAAAATACTTTCTCAGAGCATGTGTCCTGGTTTTCATTTGAGAGGGAGAAAAAAAAGTCACTTCAGAAACATCTAGTTAGTATCAAGTCTTATAGACCCAACAACATACTTCATATATTCACTGAAATATTCAAGTTCAACCTGAACTCCATCATCCCAGTAATCACATACCCAGTGTTCAAAAATATCCTTGGGGAATGCAAATGTTCCTAAACACAGATCAGCTTCAAAATTGCTATTGTCAATCATTTGACCTTAGTAAAATGCTCCAACATGCTTGATCACTTCAAGATTTTTCAGTAAAGCCTCTGTCTGAAAATCACTTATCTGTTTGGCTTTGAATTTGGGTATGAACACACCAAAGCTTTACTATTCCAGTGTTCTCAAAATTGCTAAAGTTTGTTTTTGTGCCAGTAATTTAAATACTAAAACAGAATGGGGCAATTTTATTTCCTTTCCTCTTTCTCTTCTCCATTTAAAAAAATTGGCAGGGTAGATTGGAAGGATGGGGGTACAAGCATTTGTAAATACTGTGTGCCAGGCTGGGACACAATCAAATAATTCTGTTGTGGTTGATTTTTTCAGCTTGTTATAGAAAACAAACAAAAAAATTAAAATAGATTTTGTGCTTTTTTTGAAATTTAAAAATAGTTTCTTTTTTTCATTGTATGGAAGCATGCCATAGTTATGCATGTTAGGGGAACGTGTTGCTTGTTATAATTTCCCAGGCTACGTTAAAGAGAGAAAAACCTGATTAAGTTAAAGAAAGATTGAAAATGTTGTAACCCTTGGGCTTGCATAAGGTACTATTTCATTAACTTAAACAGGATAATTTCTTGTAATCAGGGCCAGTCATGGAGCTAGAGATGGATCAGGATCTACCCGTGTGATTAATCTAAGAAGATAATGCTGTACAAAGTCTTTCTCCTAGGACTTGGTCATGCCCACTTGTATGAGGACTAATATAGCCTCATCTCTACCCAAAGCGTGGATGCCTTTAGGGGGCAGCAGTTTTCTGCCCACACACTTCAAGCAAAATGTTTGTAAAGGAAAGGGCCAGTCTCTTGCCTCCAGGTGTAACCTAGAATTTTCTGAATGGCCTGAACTACCACTCCCAACCATATTTATAAAATTGCATTTTCTGCTGATGTTTCTGTCCAATCTTCCATCATAACCCATTCCCTGACCTTTTACTGTGCTATTACAGGCAACGTTGCAAAGTTGATCTGCTTTGAACAACCTGATAGCTAGAGCAGCCAGCACAGAGCCTTGACCACAGTAGAAATTTAGTAGCAATTTTTAAAATAATTGAATAGTATTATTCATCCTTCTACTATTTTAAAATTTAAAATGAACTATAATATATCCAGCTATATAGTCCTCTTGAAACATTTTTAGAAGCAAGGAAAATGACACATTTGAAGTTTAGGTGAATCTTTTTGGAAATAATGCCTTTAAATGCATTTGTGTTTTAAAAATGATCATTTAACACTACAAGAAAAGAAAACCACAGGTTAATATCTGTCATGAACACAGATGCAAAAATTTTCAACAAAATATGAGCACACCAATTTAACATATTGAAAAGATCATACACCATTACCAAGTAAGATTTGTTCCTGGGCTGCAAGGATGGTTCAACATATGCAAATCAATTAATGTGATATACCACATTAACAGAATGAAGGATACAAATCACATAATCATCTCAATATATACAGAAAATGCACTTGACAAAATTTAACACACTTTCATGATAAAAACTCAATGAACTAGGTCTAGAAGAAATTTACTGCAACATAATAAAGGCCATATATGAGAATCCTGCAGCTAACATTATCTTTACTGCTGAAAAACAGAAAAATGTTTTATTTAAGATAGGAACAAGATGAGGATGTCCACTCTTGCTATTTCTATTCAACATAGTATTAGAAGTTCTAGCCAGAGAAATTACATAAGAAAAATAAATAAGAGGCATCCAAATCAGGAAAGAAAAAGTAAAATTATCTGTTGAGAGATGACATGATCTTATATGTAGGAAACCCTAATGACAGCACTAAAAATCTGTTAATTATGAACAAATTGAGTAAAGTTGCAAGATATAAGATCAACATACAAAAATCATTTGAGTTTTTATACACTAACATCAACTATCCAAAAAGGAAATTAAGAAAATGATCCCATTTGCAATAGCACCAAAAAGAATAAAATATCTAGAGATAAACTTAACTAAGATGAAGGATGTATACTGAAAAAATAAAACATTTATAAAATATATATATGTTCAAATATATATATACAAAAGGCTTAATATTGTTCAAGTGTCTCTACTGCCCAAAGTGTTCTACAGAATTATTGCTATCCCCATCAAAATTCCAATAACATTTTCTATAGAAAAAGGAAAAAAGCAATTCTAAAATTTATATGGAACCACAAAAGACCACAAATAGCCAAATCAATCTTGATAAAAAAGAACAATGAAACATTATCTCACACCTATTAAAATGGTTATCAAAAAATAGGTAAGTGTTGGCAAGGATAGGGAGAAATTAGAAAACTTGTACATGGTACAGCCATTATGGAAAACAATATGGAAGCTCCTCAAAAAATTAAAAATAGAACTACTGCAGGGCACAGTGGCTCAGGCCTGTAATCCCAGCACTTTGGGAGGCCAAGGCAAGTGGATCACCTTAAGTCAGGAGTTCGAGATCAGCCTGCCCAACATGGTGAAACCCCATCTCTACTAAAAATACAAAAATTAGCCAGGTGTGGTGGCAGGTGCCTGTAATCCCAGCTACTCAGGAGGCTGAGGCAGGAGAATAGCTTGAACCCAGGAGGCGGAGGTTGCAGTGAGCCGAGATTGTGCCATTGCACTCTAGCCTGGGTGACAAGAGCAAAACTCCATCTCAAAAAAAAAAAAAAAAATAGAACTACTATATAATCCAAGAATTCTGCTGTTGGGTATATATCCAAAATAATTAAAATAAATATCTTGCAGAGATATCTGCACTTCCATGTTTATTGCAGCTTTATTCACAGTAGGAAAATGTGGAAACAACCTGAATGTTTATTGACCAATGAATGGAAAAAGAAAATGTGGTATATACAGATGATGCAATAGTATTCAGCCTTAAAAAGAGAACGTCTTGTTATCTGTAAAAATGTGGGCAAACCTGGAGGGAATTATACTAAGTGAAAAAAGCCACAGGCTGAAGAGATGGGGAAATGAGGATCAGTTAAATGAGTGTAAATATTCAATTATGCAAGATGAATACATTCTAGAGATCTTCTGTACAACATAGTGCCTACATTTAACATTGGGCACTTTAAAATGTTACTAAGAGGGAAGATCTCATGTAGCATTCTTACCACATAGACACAAACACACACATATATGCATGGACACACACATGCACACACACACAAACAATCATAAGGACATGGGGAATTTTTTGGAGATATTGGATAGGCTTATTTCCTTGATTTTGGTGATAGCTTCACAGGTCTATGCACATGTCCAAACTCATCAAATTGTATACATTAGTTATGTACAGTTTAGTCCTATATCATCTGTATTAGTCTGTTTTCATGCTGCTATAAAGAACTATCTGATACTGGGTATTTATGAATAAAAAAGTTTTAATTGATTCACGGTTCCACAGGTTTAACAGGAAGCATGGCTGGGAAGCCTCAGGAAACTTACAATCATGGTGGAAGGCAAAGGAGAAGCAAGCACATATTACCATGGTGGAGCAGAAGAGAGAGAGCAAGCAAGGGGGGAACTGCCACACACTTTTAAACCATCAGATCTCGTGAGAACTCACTCACTATCATGAGAACAGCATGGGGGAAATCCACTCCCATGATCTAATCTCCTCCCTTCGGGTCCCTCCCCTGACATGTGGGGATTACAATTTGACATGAGATTTGGATGGGGACACAGAGACAAATCATATCATCCCACTCCTTGCCCTTCACAAATCTCATGCCCTTCTCACATTTCAAAATCAGTCATGCCTTCTCAACAGTCCCCCAGAGTCTTAACTCATTCCAGCGTTAACTGAAAAGTCCAAGTCCAAAGTCTCATCTGAGACAAGGAAAGTCCTTTCTGCCTATGATTCTGTAAAATAAAAAACAAGTTAATTACTTCCAAGATACAATGGGGGTATAGGCATTGGGGAAATGTTCCCATTCCAAATGTGAGAAACTGGCCAAAACAAAGGGGCTACAGGCTCCATGCAAGTCCGAAACCCAGCAGGGCAGTCATTAAGTCTTAAAGCTCCAAAACAATCTCCTTTGACTCCATGTCTCATATCCAGGAATGCTGATGCAACAGTGGGGGGCTCCCAAGGTCTTGGGCAGCCACCAGAGTAGCTGGGACTACAGGTATGAGCCACCACACCGGACCGTCCTAAAGATTAATGATCAATCTACGGCCTAAGCAATCCAAGCCATAAGCAGTGTCTGAAGATTAGGTAAAGATGCAATGTGCCTGCAGATGAGCCCTAAGTCCATTTCTGCTACTTCAAAAGTTATTGCAGGGAGCTTCAGTTCTAGCGAGTGCTTTCCACACAAACCTGCAAATATGTCTTTTTTCTTAACTTTAGGTCTATGGAGAAAAGGTTGAAAGGCCCAAAATGACTGATGAACATGATATATAATGACAGCTGGCTCTTAAAGATTCTGTTAGCCCCTGGTATTAGGAAATCCAAGTGAAAGGCCCTGATTATGCTAAGGGTTGCAAAGATGCCCAATAATATTTGAATTTCAAATGAACAACAAATAAGTTTAACATAACTATGTCATAAATATTGCACGGAACACACTTTCACTAGAAAAATATATCTTTAGCTGAAATTCAAATTTAACTGGGTATCTTGTATTTTTATTTGCTAATTCTGGTAACTAATATAGCTTACATGAACTCTTGCAAAATATCCAAAATGCATTTCTGCTTCTCGCTTAAGGAAAGACTTCTGGTTGTCCTGGAATTTGAGGTGCTTGAAGGTCTGCTGTCAGCTCAACTTTGCATCTTCTTTCTCTGGGATGCCCCTCCCATACCATTTTTAGTCACGCAAAATCTCTTGTACTTTTGAGCAGGTCATATGTTTCTATGTTTCCCCATCTTCTCGAAGACTGTCTTCATCACCTGCGTGGCCATTGCTCACTTTTCTCTTTGTAGAAACTGTCTTCAAAATCTAGGTCAAATATCATACATCCATGATTCCTTGGCTGGCTCTCCGAAAGGTCAAATAGTAATTTTTTAAAAATTAATGATGTCTGTCTTCTTGTCTATGAACAGAAATGCATCATCAGTGCTGAGTCAGAAGGACTAAAAGATTAAGGTTTCAGAAGCACTGGGAGATCTGGGAATGGGAAGTCCAGAAGAGTACCCATCAAAAGTTAGGGTGGCTGACCTGAGGGCTTCAGACTGAAAGCACCAAAGCAGTTGGTTCTCATGAGCTCTCTGGGGATGGGGACTGTGAGAATCCCCATAACCAATGGGAGTTCCTACTAGCTCATTCAAGCTACAGCCTCAGGCACATGGCCCTCAGGGCCATGCTGGCCAGCCACACAGCCCTGCAGATTGTTCCTGAGAATAAGGACTGCTCTTTTCACACCTGGGGGAGTGCCTCTCGTTGGTCCACTCAAATGTGGAACTACGGGTAGAAGGGATATTGGGCAATGCAATTCCCAGCTTGTTTTTGGCATACAGAAAGGGTCGCGGCAGGGCCAGTCTACGGCATGCAATTTAGCACATCACCTTTGCTTCAAAGACATCATCTTGACTTTTGTAATTTTATTAACTGGATTCGTAGACTTACCTTGGATGGGGATGGCATCTTACATATTCTTTGATTTGCAATTCCCAGCATAGTGCTTAGCAAATCTTCAATAAATGAACAAATAAATCAAACTTAAAAGTATAGCAGAAGGCCTAGAGTCTATCTTCAGCTCCACACATTCTTATTATTTTGCCAAAATCACTAATTACAAGCCTTCATATTTGCATCATTAAAACTATATAAACATCTCCATCCCACACTCACATACTTTTTTAAAATTAACAGCTGTGAGTGATATCACTCCATGAGTGATAGAGATAGCTCTGTAGGCTGAAACAGTTGCTTACAAAAATAAGATCTCTTTTAAAAAAGATGTTAATAATTTTAATTATACCACATTTAAGCAGCAGAAGGGGGATTTATTTTGCCCTCTGCATAACAGTTTCCTTTTGTATGATGCTACAGCCATTTCTTAGTAAATAAATGAATTAATTAAAAATTATTGCTTTAAAATTATGATTTATTGCTGCCACAGATGATTACAAAAGCCATGTACCCATGCTTCAAAGAGTAAACACAAGAGGAGTCTTCTCCTACTGTGACAATATGCCACATATGGAAAAATCAAGATGAACAACTTAATAAACCTTTAAAAACTGTTGCGATCACTTTTGGTCACTGTCACTGTACAGGATTATTTGCAGGGCTTCTGAGGTCCACTAATTATTTTCCTCTACTTTCATGCCACCAGTTACCTTGGCTTGCCTTCATTTACTGAGTAAGGTAAAATGCTGTCACAAATGTTTATCATGATCTATGTTACATGCTACTGCTTTAGTTGGCAGAGGACATTACCTCACAAGGGAGGTGGCCTGGGTATTAATATCAGTATTGGCTCAAAGAAGATGCTTTACCTTCCTTCCAGTTCTCAGCTGCTTTTTCATCTTGAAAATAACCTCATTCAGATAATAAGGATTCTAATACTCTGTTCTGCTCAAAATTTTTATTAATGCATAATAACTTTACATATTTTGTACCACTTGATAGAAAGATATAAAATGTGTTTTAATAGGGTTTGAAAAATCACAATTACTGTTATTTCATAATTTATATTAATTGCAGAATCAGATTTCCCATCAATAAACTAGTACTTGAAAGTGAATGAGGAGGTAACTTCATGGAAATGATGAAATAAGAAGCCCCATCAATTGATTTCTCCCTGGAAACAATCTTTAAACTGACAAGAAACTGACCATATCAACTTTTTCAAAATTCTCAGATCCCATGGAAATCTCACAATACCAACGGAGTGTTTAGTGAAGAAAGAGGCTTCAAAGTCTCATTAATATATAGTTATGTCCATTTTGTTTACCTATCTAACTTTCCCTAATCCCTAGGCTCATGGCAGCGCCCCTCAGTCTGGAGTGGCTTTCCAGGAAGCATCTGATTAAAGAATTTAAGACATACAGTAGCTACTTATAGAGCTCTGGGGCATGGGACCATAGATGAGGCAAGCAACAAAGATTACCACAAGCCTGGGAAGAAGGAGGCTGAGAAGGAAGCTTCTTTGGGGAAATATATATTCTGAAGGGTTTCCAGATGTAACAGGAAATATGAAGTATACTATTTATGCTCAGGACTGGACATACATTCAGAAAAAATCTAAGAGTACCGTAGTATTGTAAGTCTAATATTGGGCTTCATGTAAACAGAAAGTGAAGGCTAAGGCAGAGTCACACATGGCTCGACCTAAAGGACTACCTCAGTCAGAGCCTGTCTTCAAAGATTGGGAGACTTTTTTTTTCTTTTAGACTCCAAGCATTTCATCAGCTCTCTGTCAGGTAACTGGCTAACTGATGAGATAATAGAATAGAAACTGTGGTGGCAATATACGAGAAGAAATATATTCTTTGCAAAAATAGTTTGGAAAAGTCACTAAACAAATAGATGACTGCAAACCTCAACAATACACAATAGCAAATTCTGAAGTGGAGGAAAGACTAATTTCTAGTATTACTACATTCAAAGTGCCAAATTTCAACCAAAAATTATAAGACATATAAAAAAAATTGGAGGCTGGACATGGTGGCTTATGCCTATAATCCCAGCACTTTGGGAGGCTGAGGTAGGTGGATCACTTGAGGTCAGTAGTTCAAGACCAGCCTGGCCAAAATGGTGAAACCTCACCTCTACTATAAATACAATAATTAGCCAGGTGTGGTGGCACACACCTGTAGTACCAGCTACTCAGGAGGCTGAGGCAGGAGAATCGCTTGAACCCAGGAGGCAGAGGTTGCAGTGAGTTAAGATTGTGCCACTGCACTCCAGCCTGAGCAACAGAGCAAGACTCCATCTCAAAAAAAAAAAAAAAAAAAAAAAAAAAAAATATATATATATATATATATATATATATATATATATATATAAATTATGGCTCATTCACAGGAAAAAAAAAGAAAATAAACTTACAGAAACTGTATCCAAGGAAACTCAGGCATTAAACTTACTAGACACTTTAAATCAACCAGCTGAAATATGTGCAAACAGCAAGAAAAAACAATTAATAAAGAACTGAAGAAAACTAGGAGAATGATGTACAAACAAGTCAAGGATATCAATAAAGATATAGTATAAAAACAAAATAGAAATTCGGATACTAAAAAGTATAATAACTAAAGTGAAAAATTCACCAGAAAGGTTCAACAGCAGATTTGAGTAGACAGAAGAAATAATCAGTAAACTTAAAAATAGGACAATTGAGATAACTTACTGTGAAAAGAGGAAGCAAAACAAGCAAGTCTCTGTAAGATAATTCATTGGTTCTTTTGGTCTCAGGCCGCCATTTTGTAACTTGCTCTTGTACACTGCCTTCATGACTTGAAAGAATTAATGCATCTTCAAAATTCTGCTCTGTACCTAACAACAGAGTCTGAAAACATAAGAATTATAGTATGCTTTCTCTTTTTGTTTCTCTAAAGCCCTTCTATGAAGTAAATAGGTTAAATCTTTTTCATCAAAGTTGAAATGGCTTGCCATGGGTCTAGATAAGACTAGAAACTGGACTCTCCAAATTTCTATTATAAACTCAAAATCTAAGTATTGTTTTGGACCTATCCACAGCAGCTTCGTGTTCAGAAGTAGAAACGACTTTGTCAAAGTGTTCTAGCAAGTAAGATTGTTTTAAATAGAAAAGAATTTATTCTAATGCATCATGATAAAGTGATTTAAAATTTACATTTTAGTATATTTCTGCTGAACTTGACTCTCTATGATTAAGTTGTCTTTCTTATACAGCTTTGGGAATTTTACAAAATATAAGATTGTCAGTCCAGTTCTTTACAGAAAAAAAGTTTGACAGGTAATTTCCATTCTCTTCTTTATTATCAGAAAGATATGATAATTATTATAATTGCTTCTTTTAACAATTTTAATAATAAGACAAATATTTTCAGTATTTAGTATGAGCTTAGTTACTGTACCAATTCTAGGCAGGCATGGTTTTCTGTAATTCTAGTGGGAACATAGGGAGGAAAGTTAATTGAATTTATATATAAGGAAATTAAACTGAATATCTTAAGAAATTTGCTCAAGTATACACAGTCAGAAAAATGACTAGTCCAAAAGGTGAAATTAGACCACCAAATCCCTAGGTCATGTTCTTTCCGTTAGGCTTAATAACTGCCAAAATGCAAGCCCTTAGTTTGCAGTCTTTAATGCAGATTTTCTTTGCTATATTAAACCTTACAGACATTACTGACATCAGATGAAATCGTGTCTTCTCCCTGGGCAGAGAAACACTTTTAAGATGTTCCCTAAATAATGGATGAGCACAAGGCTAGAGGCATAGCACTCAGACAGAAAGAGGAGACAAAGAACATTGCGGGCCAACTCTGTAATTGCACCTAAGTCATCTCATCAACTCCTCACAGCACATGACATTACAGCTGAGGAGACTAGGCTAGAGTTCCTACAGAGCTTACCAAAACCCCTAAGTTCATGCCTGTGTGTCCTCTTGTATGTGTGTGGCTTGGGGACAAAGACGTCCAGGGCAGGTGGGACAAAGCAGGAGGAACCACATTTGATTCTAATCTTTTTCTACTATGCTTTTTAAATTTGTTACGATGAACAAATCAGAATTACTTTTAGAAAATAATGTGTTTTCTATTCTACCTCATTTCAAATTGATTAGTGAAGAGGAAGATCAGCGGTCACGTGATCTCTTTGAAGGGTCAAAATAACTGAATTGAACACAAATAAGCAACAGTTATTTCAATAATTTCTCAAACACACTGGGCAAGGTTTGGGGTCTTTCATTCTAGTGTTTACTAACTGGTCATTAAAACAACAGAAAATACAAATGAATTAAACGAAATATCTCAAGCAAGCTCATTGAGAAAAGTTCTGTGTCATTGTATTGAGACCTCACATTTCAGCTATTTGATACAAGTTTTAAAAAGCAGGGAAATATTTAGAGAGAAATTTAACATGTTTAACAACAATTTGTGGAAATGCAGCAATATCAAAAACTTAACTTAGCATTAGAAATTTATACTTATTTTCCTGACCATTAATTTCCACACTAACAACAGATAGTAAAAGTAAAAGACAGATCCTCACCAGTAAGCAGCTTAAGGTAGGATAGGAAGGGATGCACCAGAAATGGTGAATGATAATAGGAGAGAATTTTTAGGTGAATGAAGTAAACTGTGCCTCTTTCAACCTTCTCAAACTTTGTTGTGTTTTTAATGAAATTCTAAGAATCAACCCTTCAATCATATTTCCATAGAGTAATGTAACAAATGTTTTTAAAATTTACATAGCTTCTTCCCAAACTGCATTTCCAATTAGTAATTAAAATCAAATTATTTTATCTCTCCTAATACTTTATCTTCCACCTGACTTTAAATATGAAAAATAAAAGCATAAATATCTTATTTTTAAAAAGGAAAAATATTCTATAGATATTGAATATTTTCAATAGAAAAAGATCTTTACATTTAAAAAATAGAAGAAATCACAAAAGATAATAATTCTATACTTTAACACATCAAAGTTAAAAAGTAATATATAAACTTTCAGTTTCTAGTCTATTAAAATAGAGAGAAGCTTAGAAGCCACCACTCATACCCACACAACTAGAACTAAGCTGAACAAACTGAAAATCAATAATGTTTTTCAGATCCGTCAGATAATAGAGGCCATAGGGCACTGCTGCCTGGAAAACTGGAGAGGCAGGTACCAAGAATCATAGCCTGCTGGGGCAGAGGCCCAGGAGCAGAGGCCCACAGCTGAGCTAATACTTGAACTGCAATTAGCAAATACTGGTGACCCAAAGTGGACTAGCTTGAAAGTTAAAAACACCAAGGGATCGAATATTAGAGGGATCCACACTCTTTCTTGCGTGTTACCTCCAGGAGCCCCACCAGGTTCTCAGAATTATTACAGAAAAATTCCCTCAAGCTTCCAGCAGAGGGGAGGAAAAGTAACCATTTTGAAATATGCTTAAAGAACTCTTTTTTCCTTAATAAAGTCCAGCCCACAGGCAAACTATTTCACTCAAGACCAGCTGACTTGGGTCTTATTGCCTTACCAATGTGGGGAAATAAAAATATCCAACTCAACCCCTGCTAGCTTTTGACTTGGGAAAAGGAAAGGAAAATACTAAAATCTAGCCATTTCTAGCCTTCTTTTCCTACCTAAATGGAGGCGGGAGGGAGCTAGGAAGTAATTCTAAAGGTCACAGCCCAGAGGCACAGTCTCACTAAGAGACTAAGATTGAATGATGGTATTACAGGAGACACCCCCCTCGCCACCTCCACATCAGTTAGCCTTCTGTATAATAACAGGGAATTACAGATAAAATGACCACAAGATTCAAACTCTATATGAGGAGGATCCAAGACAACGGAAAAGATAATCCAAAATACTAGAGAAAATGTTAGCTTCTGGCACCTAGAGCAAGAGAAAACAGTATACACACCTACAATTGAGCCAGATAAATGTAAACTTCACACTAAAGGCCTATTTATTTCAGTTCCTTTTACCTGACACATTAGGTCTGGCTCTCAAAAAAAAAAGTTACAAGGCATAAAAAAGGCAAAAATAAATTAAAAAGCAAAACAAGCTAAACAAAAATAAAACAAAACCAAAAATAAAAACAAAAAACCTTAAAGACATAAAATATCAGAATCAGACTCAGATACACCAAGGATTATAAAACTTATCAGTCCAGGAATGTAAATTAACTATGATTAAAATATGCTAAGGATGCTATTGGAAAAGTAATCAACAAGCAATAACAGATGGAAAAAATAAGCAGAGAGATGGAAACTGTAAGAAAGAATAAAAAAGAAAGGCTAGAGATTGAAAAAAAGAAAAAAAAAGTAATATAGACCTGAAGAAAGCCTTTGATGGGATCATCAGTAGACTGGACACAACTGGAGAAAAAAACAGTGAGCTTGAAACATGTCAACAGACACTTCTCAAACTTAATAAGCAAAAGAAAGACAAAAAGAAAGAAACAATAAGAAAACAGAGAACAGATTATCTAGTAACCGTTGGAAAATTACAGAAGGTATAGTAGATCCATAATGTGAATAGCAAAAGAAGAAAGAGAAAAAGAAACAGAAAAAATTAGTAGAATTAATAATGGCTTAAGTAATGGAGAATTTTCCAAAATTAATGACAGATACCAAACTACACATCTAGGAAGCTCAAGGAAAACCAAGCAGGATAGAGCCTTTTGTTTGTTTGTTTTTTTAAAAAGCATCTAAGCATATCATATTCAAACTGCAGAAAAATCAAAGAGAAAGAGAAAATTTTGAAAGAAGCCACAGATAGGGAAATGCCTTACCCAGAGAGGAACAAGGAAATGTATTATGTTAGAATTCTTTCTGGAAATCACGTGAGCAGAAAGAGGAGTGGGGTAAAATATTTACACTATTGAAAGAAAAGACACCCACTTGAAATTCCATATCCAGTAAAATTATCCTTCAGAAATGAAGAAATAAAGATGTTTTCAGATAAAAGTTGAGAGAATTTGTCACCAGGAGGCCTGCCTTTCATGATATGTTAAAATACCTTCTTCAGAGGAGGAAAATGATGCAGGTTAGAAACTTGTATCTACATTAATAAAGAAAGAGCATTTTTTTAAAAAAATCAAGAAAGGGCCTGGTGTGGTGACTCATGCCTGTAATCTCAGCACTTTGGGAGGCCAAGGCAGGCAGACTGGTTTGAGCTCAGGAGTTCAAGACCAGCCTGGGCAATATGGCAAAACCCTGTCTTTACAAAAATATAAAAATTACCCTGGCATTGGTGGCTTGTGCCTATAGTCCCAGCTAGTCAGGAGGCTGAAGCTGGAGAATCACTTGAGCCCGGGAAAGCAGAGGTTACAGTGAGCCGAGATTGTGCCACTGCACTCCAGCCTGGGCAACAGACTAAGACCCTGTCTCAAAAAAAAAACAAAAAAAAAATCAAGACAAACTAAAATATTTTGTCTTATTCTTAATTAGTGTAAGAGAAAATAGTTTTTTTCAAAATAATATTAGCAACAATGTACTAGCTAATTATAGCATAGATAAGTAAAATGAGTGATAGAAATACTATAAGGAACAGGAGAAAAAATTAGGAATATACAGTTACAGGGTATCTGCATTATCTAAACATCAGTAGATAATGCAGCATTAATTATCAGTAGATAATGCATGCTCTCAAATTATAGCATTATTCAAGAGTGGAGTTAGATTAATTACAAATGTATATTGCAAATGCTAGGGCAACAAGTAAAATGAAATATAAAACAAACAAAATAAAATAATATATTAAGTTATAATTGGTATGGTAAAAGAGAATCGATAATGGAATCATATGAAACCCTCAGGTAAAACCAAAGAAGGCAGAAAAGAATAGAAGACCAAAAAAATAAGATACAAACAAAGAACAAGGGCAACAAATAGAAAACAGTTACAGGTAATGTAGACATTAATCCAACTATATCATTAATCACAGTAAATGTGAATGGTCTAATATATCAATTAAATATACCAACTAAAAGGTAGAAACTTTAAAAGTGAATAGAAAAACAAAAGCCAACTATATGTTGTCCATAAGAATATAGAGACACAAAAGGGTTAAAAGTAAAGGCATAAGGAAAAACATACTATGATTACAATAATCAAAAGAAATCATGAGTAGCTATATAAGTTTCAAACAAAGCAGACTTCAGAGAAAGGAAAATTAACAGAAATGAAGAGGGACATTACATAATGATAAAGTAGTTGATATGGTTTCACTCTGTGTCCCCATAAAAATCTCATCTTGAACTATAATCCCCACTTGTGGGGGGTCGAGGGGACCTGGTGGGAGGTGATTGGATCATGGGAGCAGTGTACCCCATGCTGTTCTCATGATAGTGAGTTATTATAAAATCTGATGGTTTAAAAGTGTGTGGCATTTCCCCTCTCACTCTCTCTCTCTCTCCTGCTCCACCATGGTAAGATGTGCTTGTTTCCTCTTCACCTTTCACCATGATTGTAAGTTTCCTGAGGCCTCCCAGTCATGCTTCCTGTTAAGCCTGTGGAACTGTGAGTCAATTAAATCTCTTTTCTTAATAAATTACCCAGTCTCAGGTAGTTTTTTTATAGCAGTGTGAAAACAAACTAATATAGTGGCCAATAAGTCATAACAATCCTCAATGTGTATGCACCTAACAACATAGCCTCAAAATACTTTAAGTGTAAACAGAACTACAGGGAGAAATAGACAACTCTACTGTTTTAGTTAAATCTTCGATGACTCTCCATTTATAATTAACAGACCCAGCAAGCCGAAAATATGTAAGGACAGAGTTGAAATGAACACCACCACCAATCAATTGAACCTAATTGATATCTATAAAACACTTCATTCAACAACAGCATAGTACAGACTTTTCTCAATCTCATGTGAAATACTCACCAATAAATTATACAAATATTATTCAATCTCTTTTAAAAAATACAAGAGAGTAATTTGCTTAGTAATTAATTCTATGAAGACTGCATTAGTCTGAAAACAAAATCAAGCAGAGACATTACAGAAAAGGAAAGCTATAGGCCAATATTTCTCACGAACGTAAATATAAAAACCTGTAAATAGACAGAACATAGATAACAAAATATTAGCAAATTGAATGCAACAGTTTATACACCATAACAAAGTGGAATCTATCCCAGGTATGAAAAGCCCTTTGAACATTAGGTAATCAATCAGTTTAATCAATAAATCAACATACTAAATAATAAAGATTATATATTCATTATAAAAATAATGCAAAAAAAAGCATTTGACAAAATCCAATATTAATTCATGATAAAAACTCAGTAAGGTAGAAATAGAGGTAAATTGCCTCAACTTCATAAAGAACATTCATAAAAACTTACAACTAACATCATACTTAATGGTGAGACACCAGTTGCTTTCCTCATAAGATCAGGTTAAAAGCAAGGATGTATCCTTTCATTGATCTTAGTCAACATGATACTGGAAATCCTACTTAGTGAAACAAAAAATAAAAATAAATCAAAGGTATATAGAACAGGAAAGAAAAAATAATACCATCTTTGTTTGCAGATGACATAATTGTTTATGTACAAATCTCAAAAAAATCAAAAACCAATCTAGAACTAAGTAATTATAGTAAGTTTGCAGGTACTATATTAATATACAAAAGTCAATTCATTTCAAAGATAGTTGATATTTAAAATTTTAAAATACAACAGAATTTACACTAGCACAAATAAATGAAATCCCTGAGTATTAATCTAAAGAACTATCTATAATATCTATACGAGGATACTACAAAACTCTGATGAAAGAAATCAAAGCTCTAAATAAAAGGAGAGATATTCTATCTCGAGAGACAGAAAAACTTAATCTTGTCAAGATATAAGTTCTTGCCAACTTGATCTATAGATTCATTGTAATTTCAACCAAAATTAAAAGGTTGTTTTGTGTCTATTAACAAAGTGATTCTAAAGCTTATATGAAAAGGCAAAAGACCCAGAATTGCCAACAAAATGCTGCAGAAGTACAAAATTGGAAGCCTGACACTTCTCAACTTTAAGACTAACTATAAACGATGATCGAGGCAGTGTGATATTGGTGAAATAGTAAACAAATAGATCAATGGAACAGAATACAGTGCTCAGGAATAGACTTATACAAATACATTCAACTAATCTTTTACAAAAGGGTAAAGGTAAAGGTAATTCAATGCAGAGAGGATTCAGTACATTGAACAAATGGTGCTGGAAAAACTAGATCTCTATATGCAAAAAAAAGTAAATTTAGATGCAGACTGCAACTTTTCAAAATTAACTCAAAATATATCATAGATCTGAATGTAAAATGCAAAATTATAGAACTTGTAGAACATAACGTAGGAAAAATCCAGGTGCCCTTGGATCTGGTGACAATTTTTTAGATACAACACTTCAATCCATGAAGGAAAAAAAAAATGGCAAGATGGACTTCATTAGAGTTAAAAATCTCTACTCCGTGAAAGATAATGCCAATAGAATGAGAAGACAAGCCACAGACTGAGAGAAAATATTTGTAAAACACTTATTAATAAATAATTTGCATCCAAAATATATAAAAAGTTCTTAAAACTCAACAGTAAGGAAGCAAACAACTCAATAAAAAATGAAAAAAAATGAACAGAAACCAAAGAGGATAAGCTGATGGCAATTAAACATATGAAAAGATGTCAAACATCATGTATTGTTGTAGAATTGCAAACCAAAACTATAATGAGAAACCATCACACACCTATGAGAATGGCAAAAACCCAAATAACAGCAAACACCAAATACTGGCAAGGTTGTAAAGCAACAGGAACTCTCATTCATTGCTGGTGGAAATGAAGGATGGTCCAGCCACTTCAGAAAACAGTTTGACCGCTTCTTAAAAACCAAACATATTCTTATCAGGCAATGCAGCAATTACACTCCTTGGTATTTATCCAAATGAGGTGAAGAACCTGCGTCCACAGAGAAACCTTACATGGATATTCATAATTGCCAAAACATGAAAGCAACCAAGATGTTCTTCAGTAGGTGAATGAATAATCTGTGTTACATCCATACAATTGAATATTATTCAGTGATGAGAATAAATAAGCTATCAAGTCATGAAAAAATAAGAAGTAACTTAAATGGCTATTACTAGGTGAAACAAGTTAGTCTGAAAAGTCTACATACTATACAATTCCAACTACAACCCACTTTGAAAAAGTGGGAATTTTAGGGCAGTAAAATTATCATGTATGATATTACAATGGCAGGTGCATGTCATTATACTTTTGCCAAAACTTTTAGGACTGCACAATAGGAAGACTAAACCCTAATATAAATTATAAACCTAAGTTAATAACAAACTTAAGTTAATAACAATGTATTGATATTGATTCATTAATGTTAACAAATGTACTATAGTAGTTGTGGTGGTCAATTTTGTGTCAACCTGACTGAGACACTGGGTGTCAGTTATTTGGTCAAACATTGTTCCGGGTGTATCTCTGAAGGTGCTCTAGATGAGAACATATGTGTTGATAGACTGAATAAAGCACATTGCCCTCCCCTCTGTGGGTGACCCTCATCCAATCAATTGAAGATCTGAATAGAACAAAAAGACTGAGCAAGAGGAGATTCCTCCTGCCTGGCTGCCTCAGCCAGGACATTGGTCTCTTCCTGACTTAAACTGAAACATGGGTTCCTTTTAGGTTTGAGGCATAGGCTTTTGGACTACAACTTATACCCTCACCTCCTCTGGTTCTTGGGCCTTTGGACTCGGACTAGAACCATGTTGGCTTTCCCGGTTCAGGCTGCCAGATTCAGACTAGAATTACACCATCACTTTTCTTTGTCTCCAAATTGTGAGGTGTCTTTCTTGGGACTTCTTACCTCCATAACCATTATAATCATTTAAACCAATTTCTTTCTTTCTTTTTTTTTTTTTCTTTTTTTGAGACAGAGCCTTGCTCTGTCACTCAGGCTGGAGTGCGGTGGCACGGTATCAGCTCACTGTAAACTCTGCTTCCCAGGTTCAAGTGATTCTCCTGTCTCAGCCTCCCGAGTAGCTGAGATTACAGGCACATGCTACCATGCCTGGCTAATTTTTGTACTTTTTTTTTTTCGTAGAGATGGAGTTTCCCCTTGTTGGCGACGCTGGTCTCGAACTCCTGATCTTAGGTGATCCACTCACCTTGGCCTCCCAAAGTGCTGGGATTACAGGCATAAGCCACTGTACCCGGCTGCCAATTTCTTATCATAAATCTCTGTCTATATTTATATACATCTTATAGGTGCTATTTCTCTGGGGAACCCTAAAACACCAATGCAAAATGTTATTAATAGAGAAATTTTGTGTGCAGGAGGGAGAGCTATAGGAACTCTATAAGCTTTCTGCTCATTTTTTTTGTAAACCTAAAACTCTTCTACAAATAATATGATTAATATTTTTTAAATGTAACACACATTTTTAAAGGAGAAAAAAACAGAAAAATATGTTAATATCCACTATTTATAAATTTTTTTTTTAATTTTTATTTATTTATTTATTTATTTTAGACTGAGTCTTGCTCTGTTGCTCAGGCTGGAGTGCAATGGCACAATCTCGGCTCATTGCAACTTCCACCTCCTGGGTTCAAGCAATTCTCCTGCCTCAGCCTCCTGAGTAGCTGGGATTATAGGTGTGGCCACCATGCCCTGCTAATTTTTGTATTTTTAGTATAGACAGAGTTTTGCTGTATTGGCTACGCTATTCTCAAACTGCTGACCTCAAGTGATCTGCCCACTTTGGCTTCCCAAAGTGCTGTGATTACAGTGTGAGCCACCACACCCGCCCAAATGTCTTTAATATAGAAAAAAAAATCACAACATTTGAAAATAATAAATGACCAAGGTATACATATTTGAGAACTTGGAGCAATAGAGTGAGTTAAGCTAATGGGGAATGGCTTCTCTCAGTAGGGCACACAGAAATGCTTCCCAAATTAGAGCCAGACATCAATTTATAACTGAGCCTAAAATAAGTCAAAATAAAATCTCAGGTATAAGAGACAGAAAGAAAGAGGGATGAGAATCAGGAGGTGAGCATGCATTCATCATTCATGCAGGAGTTCACAGAGAGGGTCTTCCCTGAGACAGGCCTGCATGTGGTCTACTCCTTTCAGGGAAGAGAACATTGCCAAGAGCTACAGATGTGGGAAAAACATACCTGAGTCAGGCTTAACCTGCTTTCCCTCAGTGAAAAGCGGAACAGAATTACTCTCACAGAACAAAGAAAGTACAAGAAGTCTGAACTTCTTTACAGTCTTGGGAAGTAAAAAAAATAAGGAATCAGACATTAGAAGCAGAAATTCAAGGTCTATGCCACCACCTGGACAGGAATTCAAATTTACACAAACTCCCCTGGAAAATAACCATTAAGCCAAAGAATTAACAAATAATCTCATCCAAGGATATGAAAATTGCCCAGTGGCATGAAGCAGCAAAGGCAGATTTGCTCCACAGAACATTTTAAACAACCCCGGGCACAAAGACTTCTTGCAAACAAACTGCCCCTCCAACCATGCATTCATAATCCAAAATGATAAAAACGCATGAAGAAACAGAACATTGCAAAGAAGACTTGGGGGCTGCAACATACATGTGGGCCGTAACTCCAAGAATAGAACATTCAAGAGTAATCAGATGAAAAACTGTGTGTATGAAATCAAAATAAATATAATCCAAATTAAAGAAAAAGATTTTTTTAAATCAATGCTATATATAAAAGGCTGTAATGTTGAGAATGTGGACATTCTTCAAAGATTACTTAGATCAAATCATGTAATGACTGCTTACTGACTGTGTGAACTCTGGTATGTGACTCAGCCTCTCTATGCTTCAGGTTCCTCAGCTGTAAATAGAGATGATAGAAACTACTTCACAGGGTTGATGAGATTGCTAAAGCTGTTAAAAACACGATAATGAGGCAGGGCGCAGTGGCTCATGCCTGTAATCCCAGCACTTTGGGAGGCCGAGGCAGGTGGATCACCTGAGGTCAGGAGTTCGAGACCAGCCTAGCCAACATGAAAAAACTCCGTCTCTACTAAAAATACAAAAATTAACCGGCATGGTGGTGGGCACCTGTAATCCCAGCTACTCAGGAGACTGAGGCAGGAGAATTGCTTGAATCTGGGAGGTGGAGATTGCAGTGAGCCAAGATTGCACCACTGCACTCTGGCCTGGGCAACAGAGCAAGACTGTCTCAAACAAAACAAAACAAAACAAAACAAACAAACAAACAAAAAAACCCACTATAATGTGTAACATACAATATATCACTTGGAAAAGTGCATAGTTGGTGTTTAAAAGATGATAGTTATTACGATTAAAAAAGAAAAGAAGTTTTATGTACATGTAAAAGGAGAAATAGTAGGAGACAAGAGAAAGAATGAGAAGAGAAAATAAAGAAAATTTCCGAGAATTTTGCCTATTCGAATATATGTGTTTTTAAATTAGTAAACACATGGTATAGCAAATAGAATCTGGCACATGTTAGATGATCAAAAAATGTCTGAAAGAAGGAATAAGACATGATCAGGATAAATAATAACAAACGTAAACCTAAATAAAAGTGTATATACATGCAGGTATACATATGCACATGTATACATGCATGTGCATATGTATATGTGTGTGTGCTTATTTCTGTATGCCTGCACATATGTGTACATTTGTGCATGAAGGTGCATGTTGGTGTAAACTGCAGAACATCAGAGCCAAAGCAATAACTCAAAAAGCAATACAGAGAAAAAGCAGATAATCTCCTCCTTCTCCCCAAAGATAATGATCAGGATGACAGCAGATTTCTCTTTAAGTAAAAATAAATTTCAGAAGACGACAAAACACTTGTTTCAAAGTGCTGAGAGAAAACAGCTGGTGACAACTAAATAATCGTTCCAGGATAACTACAAATAAATACTTTCTTTTTTTTAAAAAAAAGAACTGAGCAAGTGTAACATTGTTGATAGGAAGTTACAAGATGATGTACTTCAGTTAGATGGAAATTAGCCCTAAAGTGAAAAAGCAGAATGCAAAAACAGCTAGCAAGCAAATAAATCTTGGAATATATTGGTAAGGCTAAAAAATATTGATGAAAAATATGTGTTTATGTGTGTAAAATTATAATGCAGAGTGTGTTTAAAGCCAGTCTTTCTGCCATGGGAGATACTGCCTTCCCAGGGCTGCTGCGGTGATGGCCGTCATTCACTTTTGCTTTCTAGGAACCTGGGAACATTTCTCTGATGCCAACAACCATGGATGTCTGGCATTATTTTCTGCCCTAATGATGAAATTAAATGATGTTTAATTTTGTAATTATTACCAAATAACATACGATATATTACAGCAGTGCCTCATGGAAAACCTGTTCCCCGAGGATGAGTTTAAGAATAACTTATTTTGAGTTTAAATATGAGTTTAAGAATAACTTATTTTGGGCTCATTAAGCACTTGGGGCAGTTCCAGGGGATTTTGAGGCACAGCTTGTGACCAGCAGTAAATCAGTGGCTAGGTCAAATGAGAGAGTTTAAAGAAATCCAACTAATTTATAAGAAGAAACCAATTTGAGTAAAATGACGGTATTTAATTTTAAATTTTCTTTAGAAGTTATAGGAGAAAACAAAACTAATGGTAATAATAACTATAAATGAATGTTCATTGGAACTCTGCTTAAATTTATTTGGATTTACTTTAGGAAACTTCTGGTTTCACTCCAAAGCTACTGGAATGTCAGGCATTTACAGAAAATCTTCACAGAAGCAGCTTACAGATGTGGGTTCTCAGCTCATTGCCTGCACGTCCCATCGAAAATGGATCCAGATACTGGAAACAAGACACGTGAAAAGAATAAAAATGAGCAGAAAACAGTGTTATCCAGGCAGTATTGCATAAGGCTTTGAGTTAAATCAATTGGTACACATCAATAACCTCCACTTTTACCCTTAACATTACCGAATTTATACACTCATTACACATTGCCAAAATGTGTGTAAAATCTGCTGTTCAAAGATAAGAAAAGTGCATCCTAGATGAACCCTAGCTTCAAGCTAAACTCTGACCTCTAGTTTGGAAGATCTAAGGAGGCAGTAAGAATGGGACCACCAGTTACATTGCCCAAATCAGTCACTGGTGTGAAGTGAAAGGGCTCATCTTTCTTTACAAAAGGGCACTATAAAACCTGAGCTTTGGTAATAGCATAGGTCCTTGGACACACGCCTCTTCCCCAGTCAACCCTGCAGGGGGATGACCAATATCATTTTAATCTCTATTCTCTTATGCTAATTTTCTGTGACCATTAGGACAGACTTCAGTATGCATGGTGTGAACATCACTAGTATGTTACAAATACAGACTAGTAACTCTGAAAAAGCAAAAACTATGTTTTCTTTCATTTAGTCATTCACGTAAAAGGTCTTCATTAAAAATCTACACTATGGAAGTAACTGTTCTTAATGTTGTTGATACAGAAGTATATGAAACAATATATCTGATCTCATAGAGAATTTATAATTTATTTTTATATTTATATATTAAATTTAATTTGCATTGCAATGGGTGATGATAAATACAATGAGGGAAAGACACTTAAGGAAACAGAATAAGCAGGGAGTGATAATTACATAGACTGACTAGGTAAGGCCTCTCTAAATGTGACATATGGAGAAGAGAAATTAATGAAAAGAGGAAGCAGCAAAGATGTCTTAGAGGAAAGGGTTTAAAGCAGCAGGAGAATAGGTGCAAAGACTTGGAAATGGAGTAAGATGACTTGTTAATAAATAGCAAATGGTCTGGAAAATACACCTGACTTAAATAAGAATAATAGCAAGGAGTTTTTTTAAACCCCACGTAAAACTACAAGAAAAAAGAATAAAGACTGGGAGGCCAAGTTGGGCAGATCACCTGAGGTCAGGAGTTTGAGACCAGCCTGGCTAACATGGTGAAACCCTGTCTCTACTAAAAATACAACAATTAGCCAGGCGTAGTGACATGTGCCTGTAGTCCCAGCTACTCGGGAGGCTGAAGTAGGAGAATTGCTTGAACCAGGGAGGATGAGGTTGCAGTGAGCCAAGATCGTGTCATTGCACTCCAGCCTGGGCAACAAGAGCGAAACTCTATCTCAAAAAAATAAATAAAATAAAATAAAAAATAGCATAACAACGTTTATACAAAAAAAGAAAGGATATTAAAATGATATGCACACAAAACCTACCTAAGAAACAAGAAAGATGATAAAAGCATATGTTAGGGTTAGAAAGATTGGAGATTATGAAATTATACTAAAATCTTTGAAAAAGATACAAAAAAAACAAAGAAACTTGGAATAACATAAAAAATAATTTCATAAAATACAGAAAATAGAACAAATAAACCCTTGAATAATGTCATAAGACTTAGTGGAAATAAAATGTGGAGGGGAAAGGACAATTTTAAAAGTAAAAAAAAAAAAATTCAAAAAGAAAGGAGGACTACTGATTATGGCTACATGAGACTGATGATTTCTCTAGCCTCAAAAACTCAACTTGAAAAAATTTTAAAAATAAATAAATAAAACCTTTCAGCATTATTCTGGATATTAACCAAAGACAAACAAATTCTAAAATTTTGGTAACTACAGAAATCTTTTCTGGTAAAAACTTTCCAAATTTTTGATACAAAATTCAAGTCCACTAATTTGTTAGAATGACTCACAAAACTCAGGAAAGTGCTATAATTATGCTTATTATTTTATTTAAAGAACACAACTCAGAAACAGCAAAAAGAGAAATTCACTGGGCAAGGGCTTAGGGGGACAGAGAACAGTGTACAGAACTTGTTTGCCCTCTCCTCATGGAGTCCAGGTGCATCACCCTCCCAGCATATCAATGTATTCACCAACCAGGAAGCTCCTCCAAGCCTCAGTGTCCAGATATTTTACTGGGGTTTCACTAGGTAGCCATGATTGTTTAAATCACTGGTCACATAATTCAACTCAAACTCCAGTCTCATTCTTGTCCATGGAAATTGGGGTGGCTCAAAATTCCAGTCCTCTAATGATGTGGTTGATTTTTCTGGTGTGCAGCCACATCCTGAAGCTTTTCAGGGCTAAGTCACTTCATTAGCATAACAAAGACACTTCTGTGACTTGGGAATCCCCAAGGGCTTTTGGTGATCTGTGTCAGGAACCAGGGACAAAGGCCAGATATATTCTGCATAATATCACAAATATATGTAGTAATACCACAATGGAAGATAAAAAACTGGAACTGTATTAAAGTTTCTTTATTCTATCAGAATTAGGTTAGTATTAATTGGAGGTCAATTATAAGATGTTAGGATTCATATTGTTATGCCAGAGTTACCTCTAAGAAAATAATTTAAACATATGGAAATATAGTTTTAAAAAGAAAAGATTAAAATAGTACATTAAAAATTATATAACACAAAAGAAACCTCAAAAAGGAGAAACAGAAACAAATATAGACACAGAAAACAAATAGTAAAATGGAAAATGTAAATCTAACCATGTTAACATTTACATTGAATGTGAACAATCAAACACAGGGAATAGGCAGAGATTTTCAGACTCAATGAAAAAAATGAGAACATTCAACTCTATGCTGTTTTCGAGAGACAGACCATAGATGCAAGAATGCAAGTTTGAAAGTAAAAAGATGGAAATAAATTGTAGGCTGAAAAACGGCCACCCAACAAAATTAGGTAGTGATCCCTGGAACCTGTAGATATTACTTTATAAGGAAAAGAGTCTTTGCAGGTGCAATTAAATTAAGGATCTTCAGGTGGGGGGTTATCCTGTATTTTTCAAGTGAGTACTAAATTCAATCATGAATGCCCTTACAAGAGGGACATAATCTTCTGTGTATAATTTGTGTATAGTATACATGTATTCCATGTATTAATTCTTTCTACATATAAGAGATATGCAGAGAAAGATTATGCAAAGAAGAAGAGGAGCAATGTGAACAAGAAGGCAGAGATTTGACTGATATGGCCACAAAGATTGTAAAACAGGGATGATGGTTGATTTGGGGTGTCAACTTGACCTGATTAAGGGATATCCAAATAGCTGGTAAAGCATTATTTATTTTCAATTATTGCATTAATTATTCTCAATGTTTCAGTAGTCACTGAGCCCACCTGTCTTCTGCTGAAAGGGATGTTCAGGTGGTTTGGCATTTGATTAGAATGATTAGGCTGCTTCATCTCAGTGGACATTTGCCAGACAGGGGTTTGTCCAAGGGTTTTCTTGGGGAAGCAGAATCCCATAGATGTGTGGCTACAGAAATGTTGTTTAGATATTAGTGTTAAGTTTTGGATGTTGAGAACTGCATCCAACATGACATGACAATGAGAACTGCATCTGACCTGACAACTATGTCTAACATGACTGTTCTCCTTCCTTAAGCTGCACTTTGATGATGTCATGTTAGCAGAATTAAATGTATATAGGTGAAATAATATAACTGATGACATTAAACTGCAATTATAATGACCGATTGAGGACTGCCAGGATAATTTCTGGCCACAGCTACATACACACTTATGCATACTCTCTCTCTCTCTCTCTCTCACACACACACACACACACATTGTATTGTTACAGGCAAATGATTTAATTTCAATAAGCAATAGATTAGATATATTATCTTCTTAGAGAAAAAAAATATGCTAAAAAATTTTCTTGTGGGTCAGGGTTAGGCAGCCTGCATTTGTTGGAGGTCACACATTGAATGTTGATTGCTTCTTACTCTCCTTTGCATACCTCAAAATGTTATCCATGGATCAATATAGAGCAGTGGAAAGCTATAGGGGCAACAGCATGTTAGTTTGCCCAGACCACCCTACCTCAGTCCCCAAAATCACCTTCTCATTTCTACAGTTTATCAAGTCTTAGGTTTTAATCATGAATTAAAGGAAACAGAAATATTTTCAGAATATCTCTGCATTTTCTATAAAAGCTGCTGATATGGGTATTTTCTATTGAGAGCTCATTCTCCTGTAACTTCAACTAAACACCAAGAACAACATAATTTCTATTTCTTCTGCTTTGGGCTTGTCTGTTGTCTGCTTGAATTGTCAACACTTCTATGTTTAGTCTCAAAGGCTTTCCTTAGCTTGCATTTTAAAATCATAATCACAGAAGAAAAATGGCAGCATAGTAAGAGCCCACATTTGTTGAGCGTTCAATTTGTACCAGGCACTGCCCATATCTAAACCTTTCACCAATCCTTGGAGATATCTGCTGGTGTTATCACCACTGTATGGGTATAGAAACTCACACTGAGGGTTGATAAGCAATTTGTCAAAAATCACACAGCAAGTAGGTGGGGAAGTCTGTATTTTAATCTACATTCTCAAGTTCCACTGCACCACCTCCTGCTCATTTGCAACCATGCAATAACTATTCAGGTTTTATTACATATACTTTTTTGTAATGGTAATGTGTGGTAATTGGTAAAAATCATATCTCCCATTCTCATGCTTTGACCATTCTTTGTATTTATCCTTATAATCCAGCAGAAGAAGCAATGGCCTTACAGTGAGGCCACACAGAAGCAAGGTAACCACATGGTGAAGGAAGGTGACTCTATCTGTGGACCAGTTCCCAGAGCATGGCCTTGATCCTATGGGCCAGGGCAGCCATGGGGCTTTTTTCATTAGAGGAAGGAATGGTCAGATTTACAATTTGCATAAATTTCTTCAGCTACTCAGCATGGGATGGATGTATGGGTCCAAGCTTGAAAGCAGGAAGCCTAGTTTGGAGGCTCCTCAAATAGTACAATGAGAAGAAATCTGAGCTGGAGTTAGTATCCTAAGAAGCCTTTGAATGTGGGAGGCAGAGAATATATACACCCATTCCAAGCTAAAATGCTTATAAATTTGTATCACTGAGAAAGACCTTGAGAAGTGTTGAAACTGGCAGAGACTTCTTGTTCAAATCTCTCACTTTATGGATGACATTCAGAGACAGGAAGATAATTTCCACTGATGTGTCAGTTGCCTTTGGAAATGAAGCCTCAAGGAAAGAAGCTCATTGTGCAATTGGATAATATAATGAGGGCTGTGGATTTATAATTGAGCAACAAAAGCAGAAACAGGAAGAAACATCATGTTTCTAAATTAAAAGGTCCGTTTGGAAAAAAATTAAGTTTTGGTCCTGACAATTTCTATAATTGTGCTAAAACCTTCTTAAGCATTTGTGATTCAGCATTCTTTTAGTTACAGTTGAACATCAAAAAAAAAAGTCCCTCTAATATATTTTAGGCAGATATTTCTTTCAAATGACACTGTGACAGACCTTTTTAAACACTGTGTATTGTACAATAAATGCTTGGCAGATTAGCAATTTGTTGTAAGGAAGAATGTTTAGAGAGCAGTTTAATAATATTAAACTTTGTGAACTTTATTTTGTTTACTGATCACTCATGTTAACAGACTAAAACATGCAACCATCAGGCACTATTAAAACGCTGGATACAAGTTGGTTGATACATATTTTTAAGGATAGATGACTATTCCTTTGACAGATTTTTATAATATTTTTGCTGCAGCATCAAATTGTTTTGAGAAAGACTACCCCTGGCACAGGAAAACATGAAACTATTTCAAAGTATATTGAATGTCCTGCTTGTTTCCTTACTATATAACTATGGAGATGATAGTTACACTGAATTTTAAGGGAAGGAAAGCAACCAGTTAACCAAAGAATAAGTGCAAATCTATTTCAGCAAAGGAGAAATAGGTTGCCTTTTTTCTGACATGGATACTGCTTTAAAACTTTCTTAATGGCAATACTTGGATTCACAGAATCAGAGTCTCAAAATGGACAACCAACTTCAGAAGATATTTAACCTTGTTTTTTGTAACTTTCCTAATATAAAATCTCCCATCTTTTTACATATTTCCACTAATCGTAACAATTTTGTCACTGAGTATAGATATGAGTAAGAAACTTCTAGAGAATTGTCTCAGGTAGCACATGAAATTATACCTATCTGCCATTCATGACTAAAAATGAAATAATCTTAACATTGAAGGGATATTAATGAGGATCTCACCCCCCATGCATCTTAATAATTAGAACTTACTTCCACAACATTCCTTATAGATTTGTTGAGAGCTATTGTCTGTGTATACCATTCAATCTTCCCCAAACCATGGAAGTGCTTGCCATAATTTATATTTCAAAGATAATTTTCTTTTAGTTACAGCTGAACATCAAAGAAAAAATTCCTCTGATATGTTTCAGGCATACTAAGAAACTTGCCTCAAAATACACAGGCAAATGGTGGTACAGCCAGATTGCAAATGCTGGCCTTTCACCTCTAAAGTCTGCACTGGTTTCTCCCATGTGGCCAGGTCACTGGAACACATATCTGCCTGCTGTGGGAGACTGCATTTCCCACCGTTGTAGAGGTGCCCACTGAGATGAACGCTACCTTGTCCAAAGGATGTTGTGGTAAGAGACTGCACTTCAGAGTGGTAGATGAAATGGATGGCTACATAGCTACTGCCTTCTTTTCAGAATCTGAGACTCCATGATCCTTTTCATCTCAGGGTGTGTGTGAAGGGACAGAGGATTACAGATCTATTGCCGATTGTTCCGCTATTTCTTCATTGAGCACATTGTGCCTCAGCCAGGCGCCAGACCCTCTCATGCATGAGGGCTGGTTCTTACCTTGGTGCATCTGTCTCATGTGCTAATGTGAGGACAATTTGGCAAATGATTTATCAGAGAAATGTATGACTTCAGGTGCCTCTGTTTCTTCAAATATAAACTGGAGGAAGGAGAGGGCTGAACTTTGATGATGTGTTTGCCTTCTGAGAACTGGGTACAGTTTACACATCAATTTCATCCAGTTTGCCTTGGTGGCTTTGTAGTAAGACAGGTCTGATTTTAAATCACCTAAATTGCTATCGTGAGCCACAAAAAAAGTAGAAGGAGGATAATACTACTTTCTTCTCAAATTCATTGTCAGACTTAAATAGGATATTGAATACATGTAAATTTCCTAGTGGGGTACCCATTACAAAGTAAATTTCCAAAAATGTTAGTTATTCTTCTTACCACTCTACATTTCTGGGCAAGACTGATGTAATCCTAGATGCTTCTGTAGCTCATAGAAAATGGTGTTTCCTACTGTGTGCCCTGTGGAACGCTGCTACAAGGTATTAGAAGATGTTCTACTAAAAAAAAAGAAAAAAAATGTCCCATGGAAATTATGTGATAAACAAATTCCACCAGGGTTCCATATACAGTGTGCAATGTGAGCCTCTAAGAAGGTGATATAATTAAACAGCGTTATCCCAGGATGTAGCTCCAGGATTATGCTTTCTCCCCACTCCAGAGGATATGAGAACATGGCATGCAGAATTACACAGAAGACAGTCTGGGACACAATGACAGAGACAGAAGATTCTGCTCTTTGGCAATATGGATGGGGGGCACTTAAGCACCTCAAAAAGAATGTGAGCAGGTATCAAGACATTCGTCTTGAATGTGTTTCAATAGATTGAAATACTAGTAATTTGAGCTTTACTCTTTATTGATTATTGGTAACAATTTATTTAGGACATACCTGAGGACAAAGGACTCAGAAAACTCTTGTCCTGGTGGGCAGAGTTGTCCACCCACAGTGGGCCAGGAGATGCCGTTTAATTTGGCACCGCTTTTAAGCAAAGATTAAAAATGCTTTGAGGACAGAGAGAGAAAAAGAGCAAACCAAAGTATCTAAACACAGGACCAAGGAATTTCTTCTTAAAAAGCGGGGTCACTCAACCCTCAGTAGCCCTAATCCCAAGTTAAAGACTGGCTAATGCAGGTGAATCAACTCTAGCTTGTTTTAGCCTCTCAGTGCTCAGGGGCTGGTTTGCTGTTTTCCCATAAACTGCAACTACCCAGTTGAGGGCTAAAGGTTAGTGAGCTTTGGCCAGCAGCCATTTCTTAGCAGCTAAATCACAAGTGTCTAGAAAACTTATCTTGCTCTGTATTTGTTTCCCATGGGCCCCAGGGACTCTGACTCCAAGGTCAAACATGACAAAGTCAATCCTGCAACTGGTTTCCTTGACCCAGAGGATATCTTTATATCCTCAAAATATGGACTAGGAACTCTGAACTGACAAGCCAGACTTCTAACCCCATCCCGGACCCCATTAGTAGTGGCAGAGGCCAAGTGGCCTCCCCAAAGTGCTGTGGGCTCTGGTCTTCAGCTGCTGATAGCAGTTGCATGGTACTAAGCTCAGTCCCCTTGTTACATATACCACAATGCATGCCCGTGTTTCTGTATGTGTGTACCTCACTACTCATGGACTTGCTTTTACTGTGACACATGGAAGCTCAAAACGCTAAAGTGCAAAGGTCACAGGTGACTAGATAAATGATAAGCAAACAATGTGGTTCTAATTTTAATTTCTGCAAATACTCTCAGGTGTACCATCAAATTAAATTTACTGTAAGTACTGAAGTAGATTTCCTAGAAACCAAGCTTAAAAGTCTATATAAAATTAATGTTATTTTAAATACTATTTTAGTTCCTCCTTTTCTTTTTAAAATATCAAACATATATGATTTGGCAGGCCTCCCTGTGAGGATATCTCATTTTGAGATATGGCTGAAAAAAAATCTGATTTTCAGATGTTCAAGCTAGTAAATACCCAGAGATGGCTGTCCAGAGTCACCTCCCTATGCAGACCTGGCTTTCCTGCAGCTTGCTTTTCTCTATCCATCAGGCACCATTCCAGGCTGCTCATCCTCCCGACGTTTTCTGATCTCATGGCTGACCTGCTGTCCAGGTTTCTAGCTTTCCAGGGTGATGCAGACCTCAACACCTCTCTATTTTTACTATAGCTGAATAAAGCCCAGGATTTTTTTCTGAATAAGGTTTCTATTGCTGTAAAATATTCAGCCTGTGGACAAGAGCAAACAAATGAGTGATGCTAGAAATGTGAGACATGAGTCTGGACCTCTAGAGTTCTCACAGGCAGTGAGTTCTTGCCAGTGGCTGGCTGCTCTCTTAGGCAGTGCCTGGAAGTCCCTCTATCCCTCCCTTTTCTCCATGATTCCTGAGGGCAGAGCTGGAAAACATCTCCAGTCTGCTCACCCTAAACCACCTCCCTCCTCTTCCTCAACCTCAAGGCCAGGAGACACAGCTGAAAGAGAACAAGGGCTGGAGACACCAGGAGAGCTCCATGCTCTTTCCTGATCTCCCTCTGGGTTAGTTGCATACCCAGGTATCCCAGCCAATGCGCTTCTAAGGAACTCAAGCGGCCCACTCCTCTCTATGGAAAAGGAATAGCTGAAGGCACAGAGGATCTTCAAAACTTTCTCTTCACCCAGGGCAGGTTGCATTCCCTGATGGAGCCCGACTCACACCTGGGCAGGTGGCATCAAGCAAGTACTTTCATCCAATTGGCCTTGATACCTAGTTGGTAGTGGTTTCAGAATACCATTCCTCTGAAGGAAGATGCCTTCCAAATAAATTTTATTCAGAGGAGCTGTAGGAGCCACCCTGGGGAGGAGAGAAGGGCAAGAAGGAGGGTTTTCATGTTCCTGCTGTCAACCTTCAGCCACAGTCCCAGTGGTTGGGGATATCTCATTATATCTTATTTAAAGAAGGAGATTTCATAACCCAAAACTTGAAAACTACTAAATTGCACAATCCTGTAAAGGTCCCTTTACCTCTGTCATCTCAACTTTGTTAAGTACTTATGTCATCATTATTTAACTTCTCTTGGAAAATGTAAGCGATTATCTAATCAAGTCATTGAATATCTGTTCTTCCTTTTTTCTTTCCCTTTTCCTTTCTCCCTTCCTTCCTTATTTCCTTCCTTTCTTCTTTCCTCCTTGCTTTTCATGCTGTCCTGCCTTTCATTTTTTCTCTCTTTAAATTTAGAGGTTTCAAAGTGTTTGTTAGAAATTAATATTTTGTGCTTTTATAAATTATTAAATATTGGCTTTCAAAAGAAGTTTACCCATTCCATGGACCAAATGATAAATAATAATCCGAATATTTAGACATGGACAAAAATTTAAATCCCTAATTTAAAAGATTGAAATAGATTTTATTGTTTTTCCCTTGATTGATTAGAGAAGCTCAACTGAAAGTAGGTTGTCAGTGGGAATGTGCCATGAACATGGATACATTAGGGAATCCTCAGAGCCTGTCCACAGACCCAGGAGGCTGCAAGGAAGAGTCACCTATGAAGCTTTATGGGACCTGGACTGAGATTCTGGCACACAGTGTGAGCCATCAAGCTATCCTATCTGGCCTTTCATCAGGCTCTACTACCTATTTTCTGGGCTTTGGCCTGCTCATCTATAAAATGGGAATAATAATGGCATCTATAAGATTATTAGTAGGGCCTCAGTTTTTCCATCTCTGAAAGGATTTTCTTAGGATATGTAAAGCTCATAGAACAGTACCTGAGTAGTGACCAATAAAGACCAACTATTAGTATTATTTTTGCCATTAATGGTTGTTTTGGAGAAAATCCCTTCACCATTATGAACATCAGTCTCATCTTTTGTCAAATGTGATATTCATACATCTCCTTTAACATATATCTCGTATGTTAAACAATGACCTGGGTCCAGGGAGAGTTGACAAGGTGTGATGTTGGCCATGGAGATGTTCCTGGTATTAGCAATTAAATTAATTGATTGCAGAATGTGAGGACACTTCAGGCCGTGCAATTCATGTACTTTCTATTGATTGTCTTTCTTCTCTACAGAGCTCCTTAGGGGTGGTCTTGCAGTGCTCAGCATGAAGATCCACATGGCAATTGGACAGGCAATCACATTCATGTTTTGAGTTAGTGTTGATGATTACGATGTTTACATTTTATTTAAGTTACAGATTTTTCTCTCACTTGTCACACATTCATCTTAGTTCTGCTCTGAGGAAATATATGCCCTATTTCTGCTGTTAGAGTTTCAAATACTAGAAGATAAGCATTTGGCACTTGGCTTGAGCTCCCTTCCTTCCCTTCCTTCCTGTTCCATCACATGACAAACTGAGCACATGACTTTGCTTCCTCTCTCCCATCCCACTGTGTATGTACATGTGAGTGTGAAGGAACATATGTGTGTGTGTTTATGTAAACACAGCCAAGCCCCTGTGCAGAACTTTATTTTGGGCTGAAGTTTTAGGATACTATCCTTGAGGATACTATATTGAGATAAATCTCTTATGAAGTTATTGGCTAAGTTTTTACATATTACATATATTTATATGTGTGTGTATATATATACATATACATATATACATATGCACACACATACATATATATAAATATTTATATAAATTTTAAAATCAGAGCAACTGGATAAAAATCCAGTAAAAATCAGAGCAACTGGATACATTTGAATTGAGAAATATATAATAGGGTTTATGTCAAATGAAAAATACATTAATCATCTGGAAGGGAATAAGTTACTTGAACCTTAACTTGTACCTTTCTGTAATCTTCTGAAAATGTTTGTGTAATTGTTTTTCAATGTTTTTAATATTCTTGCTTTTTTCTTCTTTTTGGTTCTAGCCAGAATGTAGCAGAATGTGAAGCAGACATACTAAGATAAGAATAAGAGTGATTCTTATAATGTTTCATGTTCATATAAAAGGAATAATAAAATTGAGCTCCCTTTTCCCTTTTGCAATCTCAGACTCCAGAAATAAAAGATTTAATTAGCCCTTTTAGGTTTCATGATCTTATCTGTATTTATTTAACATAAATAACCTGCAGATATTCTAAAAATATCAGAGGTGGCTTACATTAAGATACATATGCAGTATGGTTAAAAGAGAAAATAAAAAACTTTGGTAAAGGAAGGGATATAAATGTATCAGTCACCTTGAAATATCCTTATGATAGCTGTATATCAAATTGACCACTTTTAGGTACCTTCACAGCCAAAACAAAAAGGAAAACAGTTTTGTTCAAATACTTCTCATTGTCTTATTTTCAAAAAATGAAGCCAATTCTAGGACCAGTAAACTATTCCTAGCATTGAATTCTAAAAGGAAAGTATTGTGTTTGTATATTTTTGAGGGACATTATGCATCACCACCAATAATAGCTCTTTAAAATGTGTTTCCAATACATAAATATAAAAGTCATAGGTATAACATATTTACAGGAGCAAAACTAAAAATGCCCAGCTCTATGTGACTTTAATGATTGATTTTACCAGAAATAGATATGTCTTATGTTTTTTCACCGTTTTGGAATTGATTTATCACTACTTCCTGTTATGCTAAAATTTTTCTCTAAACTGTTCAGATAAAACAGTTGTTTTTACATTACTTCAAGTAGTTTTGAGAAAAATTTTGACAAATTGTATAGATGTGTTTTATGATTTGAAACTAATCAAGAAAACAGGATAGAGAAGTTCTAGCATTCTAGACAATGGACAGAACAGACAAGTACAGTAACCAAGTGCAGAAAGATTTCCGTTCCAGCAGATTGTGCTGGCTCACGCCTGTAATCCTAGAACTTTGAGAGGCTGAGGTGGGGGATTTTCTCAAGCCCAGGAGTTCAAGACCACCCTGGGCAACATGGCAAGACCCTGTCTCTGGAAAAAAATAAAAAAAAAGAGCTGGGTGTGTTGCTATATACCTGTGGTCTCCAGCTACTTGGGAGACTGAGGTGGGAGGATCAGTTGAGCACAGGAGTTTGGGGCTACAGTGAGCCTTGTTTGCACCACTGCACTCCAGCCTGGGTGACAGAGCAAAACCCTGTCTCCAAAAAAAATAAAAATAAAAATAAAATAAAAAACGCTTTTTCCACCAGGTGCTAGGAAATGTATGTTTCTCCTCTTAGCATTAACTTATTCAGGTAAAACATATAAAAATCATAAACTAATCAACTAGCATAAAGGAGTATATGGTCAATAGCAAAAGCCTACCTCTCTGCTGTACCACTATTAAGGTTCTTATGAATCTTAGGAATTTGTGATGCAAATGTGAACATAGGTTTATACATATTATAGGGTTTTTTTGAGCAAATATGGTCTTACTATTATACGGTTTTCTTTTTCCCCTTAACAATATATCTTTGACATATTTCCATAATAGTATAAATAGATTCCCTAGCTTTTTTTTTTTTTTTTTTTTTTTTGAGACAGAGTTTCGCACTTGTTGCCCAGGCTGGAGTACAATGGCACGATCTTGGCTCACTGCAACCTCTGCCTCCTGGGTTCAAGCAATTCTCCTCAGCCTCCAAAGTGGCTGGTATTATAGGCACCCACCACCATGCCCAGCTAATTTTTGTATTTTTAGTGCAGATGGGGTTTCACCATGTTGGCTAGGCTGGTCTTGAACTCCTGACCTCAGGAGATCCACCCACCTCGGCCTCCCAAAGTGCTGGAATTTCATTTTAAGTCAGTTAAGGTTTTCTTTGTTCTTGTACTTTAAAAATAGTAGTGTGTATAAGTCTTTAATCCATCTGGCATTTAGTTTTGTGTGAGGATCCACATCATATCCCTTCCCTCCTCCTTTTTTTTTTTTTTTTTACTTCAATGGCAAACAGTTTCCCCACAGCCAATTGTTAAATCACACTTTTCTTTAGTCTTGGAATGTACTTAAAATTACCAGCCAATAAACAATTTTTAAGTGCTTTTTAAATGTACACAACTATGCTAACCACTTAAGACATAAAGATTGATGATGCTTTTGTGCTTAGGAAGACCATAGCTGACAAACGGAGACACAAACAATTTGTAACAATATAGGTGGTTTACATTACAGAGCAACACAACACAATATTGTGGAGTGTTTCTTAGAGGATAACTGGGAATTTGCCAATAAGAGATAGTGGGAGCCTTTCACAAGAAGCAGCATACCCATCAGCATGGGGTATTCAACCCAAGAGAACCAAGGGACAGGATATAGTATCCCAAAAGTCCAAGTATTTGTAGAGTTTCTGTCCTAAGCTGGAAAGGTAGATTTGAATCTACAAATGAACACCTTTGCCTACTTGCTAAAAGCTACAAATATTCTTTTTTTTTTTTTGGAAACTTTAATACCTCATTTTATTTTATTATTTATTTATTTATTTTTATTTTGCTTTAAGTTCTGGGATAAATGTGCAGAACGTGCAGGTTTGTTACATAGGTATACATGTGCCATGGTGGTTTGCCGCCGATATCCTTATGGCCCCAGAAGGCAAGACACATCTGAAAATAAGCCATGGCTACCTGTTGAGGAATCTCACTCTGGCCAGTGGGCACATGATGAGCTGTACTGAGGAGAGGCCTGAGACAGGGCAGTGGTCCAGGAGTCAGCCAAGAGGGGAAGATGCCTGGGTTTGTGAAGACCCAGGGAGGAGCGAGCCCTGGGTGGAGGGTGAGGAGGATCATGAGTTTAGGTGTGAGTGTGCTGAGTTTGAGAATAACACTATGTGCATAATAGAAACACTAAAATGCTAGGTCTTCTTGTGCGTTGATCAGGAAGAGAAAACATCACCCTGGAACATGCAACCTATCTTATCTGCTACCTTCCATGCCCTTCTCTGCAGTCATTGCACCACGGACATCATTGCTGCCATATGTTCCTTCCTCCTGTTGTAATTATTTAAACTCACTACATGCCTAGGGCCTCTCTAAACAGCAAACACCTTGGGACTAGAGAATGAAACACTGTTTATGCATACAGTGTCTGGCCCACCAAAGCCTGACATAGACTAGGGAATTCATAGACATTTATGGAATGAAATGGTAATTAATTTCAGAAACTGGATATCCAGGAGATTAATGGACTGTGTAAGAGTTAGTCAAACCCGCTCAACCATCATAAGAAAGTCTTGATACAGAAAATTGGACTGGAGAGCCTGTGCTTTGCACTCATAACATGGGTATGTGAAAGAATAATTCTGAATTTTTTTTGTCATTCCAGGCTCAATATTCCAGTAGTTGGAAATTAGTAATGCTGAGCTTACCCAACCCACAAGGCCCATATCTTCTGATAACTGGAGTCAGAGGCGTTGCTTCTGCCATCTGTCACCAATATTTTTACATTTCCTGGTGTGTATTTTCCAAGTATAACCAGATCTTGTTGGACACATCCCTGGATTTACATAATCGGGGCAGTGTGGAGAAGGACTGCTCAGGGGTCTAATGCATCCCAGCTTGGCTACCACCAGGCATGTTCCCACACTCTCAATCTCAGTGTGTAAAAATAAGAATAACAATGGTAACTAAACATAGGGCCATGCTAAGGATTCAAGAAGAAAATATATCTTATCAAATGAGATCTTTACTTAGAAAAATAAAGCACATCTTTATGCTTGTGCAGGTAAAATGTAGAAAATACGGAGAAACCAATGAAGAAAACAAACCACCACAAAACCTACAATCCTGAGTTAGCCCAAATACCATATATTTCAATATATAACCTGATATGTTTTGGATCTGTGTCCCTGCCAAATCTCATGTTGACCTGTAATCCCCAGTGTTGGAGATGGGGCCTGGTGGGAGGTGTTTGCATCACGCGGTGGATTCCTCATGAATGGCTTAGTGCTATCCTCTTGGTGATGAGCGAGTTCCTGTGAGATCTGGTTGTTTAAGTGTGTGGGACCTTCCACCCTCACCTCTCTCTCTTGCTTCTATTCTTGCCATGTGAGACTCCAGCTCCCCTTTTGCCTTCTGCCATGATTGTAAGCTCCCTGAGGCTTCAACAGAAACCAAGCAGAAGCTGGCACCATGCTTCCTGTACAAGCCTGCAGAACTGTGAAGCAGTTAACCCTCTGTTATTTATAAATTACCCAGCTTTAGATGTTTCTTTATAGCAATACAAGAACAGATTCATAACCTCTCAAGCTTGATTTTTTCTTAACTAAAATCATGTTTTTATTCAAAATCATAACACAACATCCCTTTGTGTCACTAAATGCAGTTCTGCAATAATGTGTGAATCTTGCTGGATAGTATTCCACTGCATGGTTTCTAGCTTTACTTCTCGTTGTTGGACATCTGCATTATTTACAATCACTCATCTTTGTAAAAAGAGCTATAATAATCAGAATAAGGGCTTACCTATATTTAATTTAGTCTGTGCCAGGCTGCAGTCTAATTGTTCTCTATGAATTAATTTGCTCACTGTCCCCAACAATCCAACGAGCTATTAGGATTATCACCCACAGTGCTGGTCAAGATGGCTGACTAGGAGCAGCTAATATGTGTGGCTCTCACCAAGAGGAATAGAAGAGGCAAGTAAATACAGCACCTTCAACTGAAACATCCAGGTACATGCATCAGAACTAATCAAGGAAACAACTTGACCCATGGAGAACAGAGAAACAGCAAGGCAGGACGACTGTCCACCCAGAAGCAACATGGAGCCAAGGGAACCTCTTCCACTCAGGGAAACAGTGAGTGAATGAGCGACTCTGAGGACTCATGCTTCTCCCATGGGTCTTTGCAACCCTCAGATCAGGAGATCCCCTCATGAACCCACTCTACTAGGGCTTTCAGTCTGACATACAGAGCTAAGTGGAGTCTCAGCAGAGCAGTCACTCAGACAGACGTGGAGCCTTGGAAACCTGGGCTTCCTTGCAAAAGCAGCTGCAACTCCGGCAAAGAAAGAGGTTAGAACCCTGTGCATACCCCTGGGAAAGGGATTGAATCCAGCGGGATAGCAGCGACAAGCTGCAGGCCCCACTTCCATGGCACCTCGCAGGATAAAACCCACTGGCTTGGAACCCTAGCCAGCTTCCAGTGGCAGCATTACACCTCCCTGAGACAGAGTTTCCAGAGGGAGGAGTGGGCCACCATCTTTGCTGTTTTACAGCTTCAGCCACAGTTGCCTTAGGGCTCTAGCAAGTCCGAGGCAACAAGGGACTGGAGAAGTCCCCCAGCACAGTACAGCAGCTCTGCCGAGAAGTGGCCAGATTGTTTATTCACATGGATCCTGAATTCTGTTTCTCCTCACTGGGTGAAATCTTCTGACGGGGTCTCCCGTCATCCCGCCAGTGTTTTCCGGCCAACATAGGTTTCAAACCTCCCTGGGATGGGGCTCCCAGAGTGTAGTGGGCTGCCATCTTTGCTGTTTGGCTGACTCAGTCGTTCTTGCTTTCAGTCTTTAGAGAGTCCAAGGTGACTGGGACTCCCCAGCACAGCACAGCTGCTCTAAGAAAAGATGTCCAGACTGCTGTTCTAAAGATGTCCAGACTGCTGTTCTAAGAGGGTCCCAATCCTGTTCCTCGTCACTGGGTGGGATTTCCCAACTCAGGTCTCCAGTTACCCCTGCCAGGGTTTTCTGGCCAACGGTGGTTTTGAACCTTCCTGGGATGGAGTTACCAGAGGCAGGGGCGGGTCACCATTTTTGCTGTTTGGCTCAGCTGTTCTTGCCTTTGGGCTTTGAAGAGCCTGAGGCAACCGGGGACTGAGCAGACTCCTAGCACAGAACAGCTCCTCTATGAAAATGTGGCCAGATTGCTGTTTTAAGCAGCTCCCCAACCCGTTCCTCCTCACAGGCCAGCACCTCCTGACTTGGTCTCCAGCCACCTTCTACAATGCATTTGGGCCAGCAAAAGGTGTCTAACTCCCTGGGATGGAGCTTCTAGGGGGAGGGACAGGCTGCCATCTTTTCTGTATTGCAGCTTTCATCGTTGATACCTCCACGTATTGGAAAATCAGAGGTGACTAGGGACTGAAGTGGGCCCCCATCATACCGCAGCCGTCCTACAAAAAGGTGTCCAGACTTTTATGTAGGTGCCCATTTCCATATCTCCTCACTGGATGAGTCCTCCAGGCCTGGGTCTCCAGCCACCCCCACCAGGGCTATCAAGCCAGGAGCAGCTCTGCAACTCCCCAGACAGAGCTCTCTCAGTGGGAGGGATGGGTTGCCATCTTTGCTGCCTTTCAGCCTTTGCCCTTGCTGTCTCCAGGCTTGGGAGCGTCTGTGGGGACCAGGAGCTCATCCAGACCCACAGCAGAGAGCAACTACTTCACAGAAAAATGGCCAGACTATTCTCCACACAGATCCTGGTACTTGCTGCTCCTCACTTGGCAGGATCACCTGACCTGGGACTCCAGCACAACCACCTTGCCCCCACCTGATCACCACAATCAGAGACAGCCCAGCATTTCTCTGAGGAGGAAATCCCAGAGTCAACCTACCACCCCTCCACCACTACGGTTGCAGTGGTAGAGCCCTAACAGCCCTTAGACTAGGAAGGAACAAAGGGCACTTCCAGCACACTGCAGCCACCATACAGAGAGGAGTCCAGCTCCTCTCCTCTGGGAACCCTCAGCCCCACTCTTCACCAGGCAGGGCACCAGCCTCATGAACATAGGACAGTTACCCCACCCATGGCTAACCATACCCACTGGTAATGGACTAGAGTTTCCCCACAGAGAGATTCCCAGAGGCATACAACAGCCCTTATGCCACTGCCACGGTAACAGTTCTATCCCTCCTGCCCTTGGTCTGGGGAAGAAACAAAGAGCCTGAAGGCTATAGCCATGCTGCTTATAGCACACCATCACTGCCATATGAAGAGGAGACCAATTTCTCCTCCCTGTGAGCCTTAGACCCCCTGCACCCCAACAAGTGGAAGCCCAACTCACTCCAGCAGTGCAGCCATCCCACCCCACTGCCTGAACACCCCAACTAAGAGTGGCTTCACATTTCCTGGAGGTGGGGCCCTTAGGGACAACTGAAAGCCTCTCTGCCACTGCCTCTGCAGTGGAACTGCCCTTCCCACCCTCAGACTAAAGAAGGAACAAAGACCCTAAATGCCTTCTCTATACCTCAAACAAGCTGCTGTCAACCCAAGAAGAGGAGGCCTGTCCATCTCCCGCAGGCACTCCACATCTGGCTCATCACCAGACAGGGAACCCCTGGCTTGGGCCCACAGCACAGACCCTCCATGCTCAGTGCTGATCGCACTGAGCACAGCACAGAACCCTCAGCACTGATTGCACTGAGCAATTACTGACTTGCATCTCTCTGGGGTGAAGTCCCCAGAAGAAAAGCAAGAGACCTTTTACCACACCACTACTAGGTCCCTTTTTCTCAGCCGCCTCCAAGCTGGGGAAGGAACATAAACCCTGACATCACCCCAGAGCTGTGGTGGGCACCCCAGGAATGCCAAGTTGTGATCTATAGCCACCACTGAAGTGGGAGAGGAGTCCACACTTTCCAAGCATTGAGAGAGAGCACAGCTGCAACTATTAGGAAATATAGGAGAGCCCCATGACCAAGCAAGAGCCTAGCAACTGACCAGTATGCCTAAGTACCACCTACTAGACCACACCCCAAAGCTTTGACACCAAAAATACCTCCTGTGAAACAAACACAAGAAGTCAGCTACGAATAATGACCCTGGCACAAAGACTTGGCCCTGTGAAAACATCCAGAAAATAAGTCTGTTGACTACTAAATCTAACTGCAGTTAAAGGAACACCCAGATACAGAGGCGAGAAAGAACCAATACAAGAACTCCAGTAACTCAAATGGCAAGACTATTTATGTCCTCCAAATGACTGTACCAGTTCACCATCAAGGGTTCTTAACCAGGATGAGCTGGCTGGTTAAGCATTCTGAATTCTGAATTCTATTCAATTCAGGAATAGAATTAAGAATACGGATAGGAATGAAGATTATCAAGATTCAGGAGAATGGTATAACCTAATCCAAGGAAACTAAGAATGACAACAAAATGATACAGAAGCTGTGAAAGACAAAGCAGCCAGTATAAGAAAGAACCTAATGGATCTGACAGAGCTGAAAAACACACTACAAAAATTTCACAATGCATTCACAAGTATTAACAGCAGAATAGATCAAGCTGAGGAAAGGATCTCAGAATTTGAAGACTGACTCTCTAAAATAAGACAGTCAGACAAAAATAAAGAAAAAAGAATAAAGAGGAATGAACAAAGCTTCTGAGAAGCATGGGATTATGGAAAGAGGCCAAATCTATGAATCATTGGCATCCCTGAAAGGGACAGGGAGAAAGCAAACAACTTGGAAAACATATTTCAGGATATCATCCATGAAAACTTCTCCAACCTTGGTTAGAGGCCAGCAGCCAAATTCAAGAAATAGAGAGAACCCCTATGAGATTTTACACAAGAATATCAATGCCAAGACACATAATCATTAGATTTTCTAAGTCAAAATGAAAGAAAGAATGTTAAAAGCAGCTATAGACAAAGGGCAGGTCACCTACAAAAGACAGCCCCATAAGGCTAACAGTGGACCTCTCAGTTGAATTCCTACAAGCCAGAAGAGATTGAGGACCTTTATTCAACATTCTTAAAGAAAAATATCTTCAGCCAAGAATTTCGTATCCAGCCAAACTAAGCTTCCTAAGCAAAGGAAAAATAAGATCCCTTTTAGATAAGCACATGTTGAGGAAATTCATTACCACCAGACCTGCCTTACAAGGGGTCTTGAAAGGAGCACTAAATCTAGAAAAGGAAGACTACTAATGGTCAATAAAAAAATACACTTAAATACACAAACTAGTGACAATATAAAGCAACCACACAAACAAGCCAGCAAAATAACCAGTTAACAACACAATGACAGGATCGAATCCCCACATATCAATACTAACCTTGAATGTAAATAGGCTAAATGCCCCACTTAAAAAGCACAGAGTGACAACATAGATAAAAAAGCCAGACTCAATGGTATGCTGTCTTCACGAGACCCATCTCACAAGTAGTGATACCAGTAGGCCCAAAATAAAGGGATGGAGGAAAATCTACCAAGCAAATGGAAATGAGAAAAAGCAGGAGTTGCAATCCTAACTTCAGACAAAACAGACTTTAAACTTCAGACAAAACAGACTTTAAAAGATCAAAAAAGACAAAGAAGAGTATTACATAATGGTAAAGGGTTCACTTCAACAAGAAGACTTAACTATCCTAAATATATATGCACCCAACACAGGAGCACTCCGATTCATAAAGCAAGTTCTTAGAGACTTACAAAGAGACTTAGAATCCCTCACAATAATAGCGGGAGACTTCAACCTTTGGTGACAGTATTAGACAGATCATCAAGGCAGAAAATTAACAAAGACATTCAGGACCTGAGCTCAACATTGGACCAAATGGACCTGATAGACTTCTACGGAACTTTCTACTCAAAAACAACAGAATATACATTCCTCTCATTGTCACATAGCACATACTCTAAAATCAACCACATAATTGGACATAAAACAATCCCCAGCAAATGCAAAAGAACTGAAATTATACCAAACACACTCTCAGACCAAAGCATAATAAAAATAGAAGTCAAGACTGACAAAAATGTTCAAATCCATGCAGTTACATGGGTATTGAACAACCTGATCCTGAATGACTTTTGGGTAAATAATAAAATTAAGGCAGAAACCAAGAAGGTCTTTGAAACTAATGAGAACAAAGATACAACATACCAGAATCTGTGGGATGCAGCTAAGGCCATGTTAAGAGGGAAATTCATCACACTAAATGCCCACATCAAAAAGTTAGAAACATCTCAGATTAACAACCTCACATCACAACAGAAAGAGTAAGAGAAGCAAGAGCAAGTCAACCCCAAAGCTAGCAGAAGACAAGAAATCACTGAAATTAGAGCTGAACTGAAGGAAATCAATACACTAAAAACAATTCAAAAGATGAATGAATCCAAGAATTTGTTTTTTAAAAACTAATAAGATAGGCCACTAACTAGACTAATGAAAAAGGAGAAGATCCGCATAAGCACAGTTAGAAATGGCAAGGGGAATGTTACCACTGATCCTGCAGAAATAAAAATAACCATCACAAACTACTATGAACACCTCTATGCACAGAAACTAGAAAACCTAGAAGAAATAGATTAATTCCTGCACACAAACACCTTCCCAGGACTGAACCAGGAAGAAATTTATTCCCTGAACAGAACAATAATGAGCTCCAAAATTGAATCAGTAATAAATAGCCCACCAAACAAAAAAAGCCCAGGATGAGAGGGAATTGCAGCTGAATTCTACTAGATGTACGAAGAAGAGCATTCTGAATTCTGGTACCATTCTTATTGATACTATTCCAAAAAACTGAGGAGGAGGGACTCCTCCTCAACTCATTCTATAAGGCCAGCATCATCCTGATATCAAAACATGGCAGACACTCACACACAAAAAAATACTTCAGGCCAATATCCTTAATGAACATCAATGCAAAAATCATCAACAAAATACTTACAAATCGAGTCCAGTAGCACATCAGAAAGCTAATCTACCATGAAGAAGTAGGCTTCAACCCCAGCATGCAAGACTGGTTCAACATATGCAAATCAATAAATGTGATTCATCACATAAACAGAACTAAAGACATAAACCACATGATTATCTCAATAGATGCAGAAAAGATTTTAAATAAAATTCAACATCCCTTCATGGTAAAAACTCTCACTAAACTAGGTATTGAATAAACATATCTCAAAATAATGAGAGCCATCCATGACTAACTCACAGCCAACATCATAGTGAATGGGCAAAGGCTGGAATTATTCCCCTTGAAAACTGGCACAAAACAAGGAGGTCCTCTTTCATCACTCCTATTCAACATAGTATTGAAAGTCCTGGCCACAGCAATCAGGAAGGAGAAAGAGAAGGACATCCAAATAGGGAAGGAGGAATTCAAACTATCCCTGTTTGCCGATGACATAATTCTATATCTAGAAAGCCCCCTAATCTCAGCACAAAAGTTCCTTCAGCTGATAAACAACTTTAGCAAAGTCTCATAATACAAAATCAATGTACAAAAATCACTAGCATTCATATATACCAACAACAGCCAAGCTAAATGCCAAATCAGGAATGCAATCTCATTAACAGTTGCCAAAAGGAGAATAAAATACCTAGGCATACAGCTAACCAGGGAGGTGAAAAATATCTACAAGAACTACAAACCACTGCTTAAAAAATCAGAAATGATACAAATAAAAAAACATCCCATGGTAATGGATAGGAAGAATCAATATCATTGAAATGGCTGTAATGCCCAAAGCAATTTATAGATCCAATGCTATTCCTATAAACTACCAGTGGCATTCTTCACAGAACTAGAAAAAACTGTTTTAAAATTCACATGGAACCAAAAAGAGAACAAATAGTCAAGGCAATCCAGGACAAAGCTGCGGTGATTATGTTACCTGACTTCAAACTATACCACAGGGCAACAGTGACCAAAACAGCATGGTGCTGATATAAAAACAGACACATAAACCGATGGAACAGAATAAAGAGCTCAGAAATAAGGCTGCACATCTACAACCATCTGATTTTTATGAAGCTGACAAAAACAAGCAATGGGGAAAAGACTCCCTGTTAAATAAATAGTGCTGGGATAACTGGCTAGCTATATGCAGAAGATCAAAACTGGACCCCTTCCTTACACCATATACAAAAATCAACTCAAGATACATTAAAGACTTAAATGTAAAACCCAAAACTCTAAAAACCCCGGTTGCCTGGAAGACAACCTAGGCAATACCATCCTGTACATAGAAATGGGCAAAGATTTCATGACAAAGACACCAAAAGCAATTGCAACAAAAAGAAAAATTGACAAATGGGATCTAATTAAACTTCAGAGCTTCTGCACAGCAGACATCCTACAGAATGGGAAAAAATATTTGCTTGCAAACTATGCATCTGACAAAGGTCTAATATCCAGCATCTCTAAGACAAACAAATTTACAAGAGAAAACAAAGAACTCCATTAAAAAGTGAGCAAAGGACATGAACAGACACTTTTATGAAGAAGACATACATGCAGTCAACAAGCATATAAAAAAAGCTCAATATCATTTATTATTAGAGAAATACAAATCAAAATCACAATCAGATACCATCTCACACCAGCCAGAATGGCTATTATTAAAAAGTCAAGGCTGGGCACAGTGGCAGATACTTGTAATCCCAACACTTTGGGAGGCAAAGGCAGGTGGATCACCTGAGGTCAAGTGTTTGAGACCAGCCCGGCTAACATGCCGAAACCCTATCTCTACTAAAAATACAAAAATTAGGCCAGGCACGGTGGCTCATGCCTGTTATCCCAGCACTTTGGGAGGCAGAGGCAAGTGGATCACCTGAGGTCAGGAGTTCGAGACCAGCCTGGCCAACATGGTAAAACCCCATCTCTACTAAAAATACAAAAATCAGGCAGACGTGGTGGCATTTGGGAGGCTGAGGCAGGAGAATTGCTTGAACCTCGGAGGCAGAGGTTGCAGTGAGCCGAGATTGTGCCATTACACTCCAAACTGGGAAACAGAAGGAGACTCTGGCTCAAAAAAAAAAAAAATAGCTGGGCATGGTGGCATGCACGTGTAATACCAGCTACTCGGGAATCTGAGGCAGGAGAATCTCTTGAACCCGGGAGATGGAGGTTGCAATGAGCCAAGATCGCAGCACTGTCACTCCAGTCTGACAGAGTGAGACTGTGTCTCAGGAAAAAAAAAAAATTAGATAAATAAAAATTTTAAAAAGTAAAAGTCAAAAAACAACAGATGCTATGCGGTTGCAAAGAAAAGAGAATGTTTATACACTGTTGGTTGGTGTGTAAATTTATTTAACCATTATGGAAAGCAGTATGGTAATTCCTCAAAGAGCTAATAACAAAATTACCATTAAACCCAGCAATCCCATTACTGAGTGTATACCCAAAGGAATGTAAATCATTCTACCATAAAGACACATGTACGCAAATGTTCATTGCAGTTTTATTCATAATAGCAATGACATGGAATCAACCTAAATGCCCATCAATGAGATTAGATGGTACATGTACACCATGGAATACTATGCAGCCATAAAAAAGAATAAGATCATGTCTTTTGTGGGAACATGGATGGAGCTGGAGGCCATTATATTTAGCAAACTAGTGCAGGACTAGAAAGCCAAATACTGTATGTTCTCACTTATACATGGGAGCTAAATGATGAGAACTCATGAACAGAAAGAAGAGAACAACAGACAGTGGGACCAACTTGAGGATGGAGGGTGGGAGGAGGGAGAAGAGCAGAAAAAGTAACTATTGGGTACTAGGCTTAGCACCTGGGTGATGAAATAATCTGTGCATTAAACCCCCAAGACACGACTTTACCTTTATAACAAACCTGCACATGTACTCCTAAACTTAAAACAAAAGTTTTTTTAAAAAGGATTATCTGCCCCGTTTTAAGATGGAAGAAACTGAGGCACCAAATTCTCACAGACAGAGTAAATTTTCCTAGTCATTATGCTCTGTAAATCTTCATTTAGTTCTTCTCTACTAATCACAAAAATTGAGTGGCTCTGTCTATTACATGTATGATACTAAAGTTGTGGAAATGTGTGTCTAAATTATTTTCTAGAAAATCTGTATTCGTTTCCATCTCTATGGGCAGGGTAGCGAGTTGCCCGTCTTTGTTCCTGGCAAAATACTAGACACAAACACACACACACACACACACACACACACACACACACGAATGCACGAAGTCTGCCAATTAGGATATTAAAAAATGTCCTCTTAATTTGCTTAACTTTCTCTTTCTTTGATTACTAGGGGGTTGATTTTTTTCCCCATTGGTCATTTCCCTTTCTCCTTAAACGATTTGTCAGTTCATAGACTTTGTTCAATTTCCTCTGATAGCATTTTTAAATTAGTAATTTGGAAGAGCTCTTCACTGACAATTGTAAATACTTCTAGATCATATATATTTTAATTGTTTTTTAAAATTAGAATATCATTTCTTATTTTATTATGATTATAGTCATTTTGGGGGCATATCTTTCCTACCATAAGATGTATGAATATAGATGCCTCCATATTTTCTTCAGAACATTTTTTATTATTGAATAACTTTTAATTACATTTAATTATAAATTAGTTCAGACTGATCATTTAATTACATAATGATTTAGTTATAGATTAGTTCAAATTGGCTTCTTTAACTTAGCAATATGCATTAGAGTTTCTCCCATACTTTTCATGGCTTAATAGTTCATTTCATTTTAGCACTGAGTAATATTCCATTGTCTGGACATGCCACAGTTTATTCTTTTACCTACTGAAAAGTGTCTTGTTTGTTGGAAGTTTCAGAATTACTAATAAAGCTGCTACAAACATCAGTGTGTCGGTTTTTGTATAGACATAAGGTTTCAACTCCTTTGGGTAAACACCAAGAGGTGTGATTGCTGGATCGTATGGTAAGAGTATGGTGAGTTTTGTAAGAAACTGCCAAATTGCCTTCCAAAGTGGCTGTGCCATTATTCATTCCCACTAGCAATGAACAAGATTTTTTGCTCTACACCTTCATCAGCATTTGGTGTTGTCAGTGTTCTGGATTTGAGCCTTTCTAATAGGAGTGTAGTGGCATTTCACTGCTCTTTTACTTTATATATTTCCCTGATGACATATGACATTGAGCATCTTTCTATATGCTTATTTATCTCCTGTGTATCTTTGTTAGTGAGATGACTGTTAATGTTTTTGACCCGTTTTTTTCAATTGAGTTGTTTGTTTTCTTACTGTTAAGTATTAAGTGTTCTTTATATATTTTGGATAACAGTCCTTTATCAGATATGTCTTTTGCAAATATTTCTTCCTGGTCTGTGGCTTGTGTTTTCACTCTCTTAACAGTATCTTTTGTGAGGTAAAAAAAGTTCTTAATTTTAATGAAGTCCAGCTTATCAGTTCTTTCTTTTATGGATTATACCTTTGTTGTTGTATCTAAAAAGTCATCACCAAACCCCAAATTGGCTGGATTTTATCCTACATAATGTTCTAGGAGCTTTAGAGTTTTGTGTTTTACATTTAGGTCATTTATTTATTTATTTAGAGGCGGAGTCTCGCTCTGTCACCCACACTGGAGTGCAGTGACATGATCTCGAGTCACTGCTACCTCTACCTCTCCGGTTCAAGCAATTCTCCTGCCTCAGCCTCCCAAGCAGCTGAGACCACAGGCATGCGCCACCACACCTGGCTAATTTTTACATTTTTGGTAGAGACGGAGTTTTACCATATTGGCCAGGCTGGTCTCAAACTCCTGACCTTAGCCTCCCAGCCACCTCAGCCTCCCAAAGTGCTGGGATTACAGGCCGTAAGCCACCATGCCCAGCCTATCATTTATTTGTAGTTAATTTTATTAAGAGTATAATGTCTATGTCCAGATTTATATTTTTGCTTATGGCTGTCCATTTGTTCCAGTATCACTTACTGAAAAAGCTATTTTTTCTCCATTGTATTACCTTTGCTCCTCTATCAAAAATCAGTTTCTGGGCTCATTATTTTGTTTCATTGATCTATTTGTCTATTCTTTTACCAATATCACACTACCTTCATTATAATAGTACTATGCTAATTATTGAAATTGGGTAGGGTCAGTCCTAAGATTTTGTTGTTCTTCAATATTATGTTGGCTATTCTGGGTCTTTTGCCTCTCTATATAAACTTTAAAATTAGTCTGTTGATATCCATAAAATAAGTTGCTGGTATTTTAACTGATATTGCTCTGAATAAACAGATCAGTTTGAGAAGAACTAATATACTGACTATATTGAGTCTTCTTATCAATTAACATGAAATATCTCTCAGCCAGGTGCAGTAGCTCAGGCCTATAATCCTGAGACTTTGAGAGGCTGAAGTGGGCAGATGGCTTGAGCCCAGGAGTTCAAGATCAGCCTGGGCAACGTGGTGAAACTCCATCTCTACAAACATATATATATATGTATATATATATATATATATATATATATATATATCCATCTCTACAAAAAAAAATTATACACACACACACACACACACACACACATATATCCAGACATGGTGGTGTGTGCCTGTAGTCCCAGCTACTAAGGAAGCTGAGGTGGGAGGATCACCTGAGCCCAGGAGCTCTGATTGTGCCACTGCCCTCCATCCTGAGTGACAGAGTGAGACCCTGTCTAAAAAACGAAACAAATCTATTTAGTTCTTTTGTGATTTCTTTCACCAGACTTTTGTATTCCTCCTCATATTGAGCTTATACATATTTTGTTAGGTTTATACCTAAGTACTTCATTTTGTGTGCTAATGTAAATAGCATTGTGTTTTTAATTTAAAAGTCCACTTGTTAATTCCTGGTATATAGAAAACCAATTGACTTGTGGGTATTAATCTTGTATTCTGCAACTGTACTGTAATCTTTTATTAGTTTCAAGGATTTTTTGTGTCAGTTCTTTTGGATTCTCTAGTCAATCCTGTCATCTGCAAACAAAAACGGTTTTATTTCCTCCTTCCCGATTTGCATATGTTTTCTTTCTTTTTCTTGTCTTATTCCATTAGCCAGGCCTTCCAGTATGATACAAAAAATGATATCTGTAAGTGATATCTGAAAAATGATTATTGAAAGGGGGCATCTTTGCCCTTTTTTTTTTTTTTTTTTTTACTTTTTAAGACAGGCTCACCCTGTCACCCAGGCTAGAGTGTAGTGGTGCCATATTGGTTCACTCCAACCACCACCTCCTGGGCTCAAATGATCCTCCTGCCTCAGCCTCCCGAGTAGCTGGGACTACAGGTGTGCACTACCATGTCCTGCTAATTTTTTGTATCTTTTGTAGAGACAGGGTTTCACCATGTTGCAGTCAGCCCATTTTGGCCTCCCAAAGTGCTGGCATTACAGGCATGAGCCAGCATGTGCGGCCCTTGCCTTGTTCCTGATCTTAGTGGGAAAGCATCAAGTTTCCAATGTGTGATGGTTATGTGTGATGTTAGCTGAAAGATACTTACAGATATTATTTATCAGGTTGATGAAGTCCTACTCTATTCCTAGTTTGTGGAGCGTTTTTATTATGAAACAGTGTTACATTTTGTCAAATGCTTTTTATGCTTCTACTGATATTAGGTGATTTTTCTTCATTAGGGTATTGATGTGATGTGTCACATTAATTGATTTTTGAGTGTTGAGTTAGCCTTGCATAACTGGAATATAATTCATTTTATACATTATTGGATTTGATTTGCTAATATTTTATTGGAAATATTTGCATCTATGTTGATAACAGATATTGGTCTTTTGTTTGCTTTTCTTATAATGTCTTATAATGTTCCAAACTCAAATGGTTTGGGTAATAGGGTAATGCTGGCCTCATCGAATGAGTTAGAAAGTATTCCTTCTGTTTCTATTTTCAGAAAGAGATTTTAGAAATTTGGTATAGCTGCCGATTACCGAAACTGACTTTATGAAAGAGAAAAATCAAAATTGATTTGAATCTTCAGTCACTATTTAATACAAATTAAAATTGTTGACAGTTAAATATCTATTTTAAAATATAATTCCATGTTTATTCATATCTTCCCCATTTATTCTTGAGTAAATTTTATATTTCTGTTGAGTCAGATTTAATTGACTAGTATATAGTATTTATTCTGGTAATGATTCTCATCATATACATTTTTTTAAATGTAGAGAACAAAAATGAAACGGCAAATGTGCAGGATCCTTGCTTTGAAATTTCAAAATCCCCTGACTTCTATGGTTGATAGTATTGTGGAAGAAACATCCAAACCAAGTTATTTTGACTGATGATCTTTCCCCATTCTCCAGAAAAGAGCTCTGGCCAAGAGCTTCAAAATATATAATGAAAAATTGATAGAGCTAAAAATATAGAGAAAACCGAAATTATCTTTGGGGACTTCACACCACCCTTAGCAATTCAAATAATGAATAGACAGAAAATCAGCAATGTTCCAACACTTGCAATTAAATAGCACAGTTCTAAATAACCCATGGGTCAAAAAGGAAGTCTCAACAGAAATGAAAAATGCACTAATTCTATTGGCAGTAGATATCTCATCTGAAACCAGGAATATTAGAAGAAAATGGCAAAATATTTTTCAAGTTTCAGAAGGAAAAAAAAAGCCTCTGGACCACATATTTAAAATCTGGCAAAACTATCCTTAAGGAATAAAATAGACAAATCTGCAATTATAGTTGTGAACTTCAACACATCCTTCTCTGTAACTGATGAAATTGCTAAATATAACATTAACAAGCATACAGAAGATCTGGACAACACAATCAATCAAAGAGAACTGATTGACATACACAGAACACATCAGCATTTAACAACAGCAAAATACAATTTAAGTGCTCCTGGAACATTCACTAAAATAGCCCATATCCTGGGCCATGTAACAAACTTCAACAAATTTAAAAGAACTGAAACAATACATAGCGCATTCTCTCATGACAATAAATTCAAACTATAAATCAACAACACAAGGATAAAGGAAAACCTCTAAAAACCTGTAAATGAAATAGCACACTTCTAAATAACTTACAGATCAAAGAAATCTCAAGGAAACTTTAAAACTAAATAGAAGCGAGTAAAAATGAAACTATCGTATAGAAAAACAATCGATGGTACACACAGAAAATAGCAGTACTGAAAAGACAAATTAATTTTATTAAATACTAACAATAGAAATAAGGAAAGAATCCAAGTCAGTAACCTAAGTTTCTGTCTTAGGAAACTAGAAAGAGAATATCAAATAAACCCAACCTAGCAGAAGGGAGGAAATAATAAGGAAAAGGGCAAATATCAACAAAATTGAAAATTGGAAAAAATAGAGAAAATCAGTGAAAGGAAAAAAACAGTTACTAAAAAAAAGGTAAAATTAAAACATCTCTAGAAAGACTGAAAATAATAAAAAGAGAACAGACACAAATCACAAAAACAGAAATAAAGATCCCACAGCAAAAAAACAGATAGCATGAGAATACTATCTGCATCTGTGCATTCATTAACGCTACAACTTTGAAAGAAATGGATCAATTATTTGAAAACTGCAGACAAACAAATACCTGGAAAAGAGTTTGGCAGTTTTTTTTGTAAAACTAGACATGCAACTATCACAAAATCCAGTGGTCTATTCCAGAGAAAAGAAAACTTACGTTCACACTAAAACCTCTACACAAATGTTCACAGAAGCTTTATTCAAAATAGACAAAAATGGGAGGTAACCCAAATGTCTTTCAACAAGTGACTGGTTAAAGAAACTGTGGACACTGTGGTGGTACATTCATTCCCTGGAATACTCCCACAACAAAGAGGACACACAACAGCTTGGATGAAAATGAAACGAATTTTGTATTATTGATACTGTGTTGTAGCTATTCAAGATGACACTATTGATAGAAACCAGGTGAAGGGTACACAAGACCTCCTCGTACATTTTTAACAATTTCTTCTGAATCTATAATCCTCTCAAATAATTTTTAAATAATATTATTTTTAAAAAGCAAGTTCTATGCAGATGGTGGTCACTGCGCCTTACATTCTCCATCTCTGCTCTTTAGGTATATTTAAGACAATAATGAGTAGCTTCCTACTGTTGTGCTAGGGATTGTAGAATAGAGTCCCTGGATTTGAGCTTAATGTGAATCAAGACCTAAATAAATGTGCCCTTGGGATGCTGAACTGGTGTCAAACTTCAGAGCTGAATGATGTCACAGCTCAGCTCAAAACACTTCAGGGGCTTCCTATGATTTTCTTAGTGAAAACCGTTATTCTAAACTGATGTATAATAACTAACAGGATCTGATCTCCTGCCACTTCTCAGAATCTCTTACATTTACTAACATCCAAATATATACTTGAATTATTGTTCAAATATAAGGAAATAATTTAACCATTCTAAAGGTAAAGACATTTGTAAGGAGAAAGTAGCACTGGCCATAGATTTCCTTACAGATACATTCAACTTTGGAAGGCAGAGAAACAATACTTAGGAAGTACTTGATAAATGGAGTTGAGTATTTTGACTGGCCTTTACACATGAGAGAATTCAGGGACTCCAGCACTTCTGAGCCCTTCTTGAAGAAAATGGAAGATTATAAACTGTAGCCATCCAAGTAACAAAGGCAGAAACCACAACAAAATAATTGAACAAGAGCGTTCAGTTCTTAGCCATGAGGCCAGGGCTAAAATAAACATAAGAATTATGGCTGAAGAACAGAAAGGAAGTACTATAGGACCTGAATATGTAGCAATACCATGTTTAATAAAAATTGAGTATGGTAAATGAAAGAAAAGAGGTAGTAAAATGAATTCTTTTTTGTGATAGTCTCAATATATCAGTTAAAACAAGTCGGTCGAGCCACATCGATATACGTAGATTTCAAGGTATAAAGTTAAAACTCAAGTTTGGATGATATAAGGGAGAGAATGAGAAAATATAGAGAAAATATCCTTATTCTGTCATTGCTAATACTGGTGAGTCAATATAGACTCAGTAGTATAATATATACAAAGAACTAGGCGGTCAGTTAACCATTAGAAAAAAAGAAAACAAAACTCAGACCTTCCAAATCATCATTGAAAAAACTCAGACCTTCCAAATCACATTAAACTAAAACATTAATAATGGCCTTAGCATAAAAGAATGTTGAGGAAAAGAAAAGGGAAGAGGAGGAAAAATATGTCTTGAGTAGTAAGAATAAGCCTATCTGTCATATTAATAAAGGTACTAAACTGATATGGACCACACTCGTAGGTGTGGATCATGATAGGACCACAAAAAAAAAAAACCCAATCTCCTATTCAGAAAACATGAAAAAACAACTAAAACCAAGTAATTACAAAATGAAGTGCAAAGGCTGCTGTGAATGGGGAACTGCTCCTGCCCACAATAAAGTTGAATTCAGTATAAGTTTATTAAATGAAACAAAGGTATGATATTTATTGCATACATTAAATATGATTTTTTTAAAGTTTTCAGAAAGAATGGGAGTTTACCAACCGCATAATTTCTATGACTCATCCACATCTGTGACTCTAAGTCTAGCCAAGCCATCAGATACTGTCCTGCTTCAGCCATCAGCATCACCTGGGGCCCATATGAATTCCACATCCCCATTCTATATTCACGTGGAACCAGAGCTGGAGCCAACCAGGGAACTTCCACACAGGGACAAGCTCAGCAGGTGATTCTTACGCATCAGGTTACCCGCGCATGGGCAGACCAGTACTAGAAAGGCACATTCATATTCAAAAGAAACTCCAATTGCAACTAAATAAACCTATTCTCACTGTCTCATAACTTCAAAGTGAGTAATTTTAAAGTAGAGCTAGAAGAAACTTGGCATGTCATTCTCATCTTAAAGAAATGGAACAATGAACATCATATGATGAGCTTAATATGATTTTAAAACAAGAATATGTGGATTTTTTCTGATTTGATTATTAAAAATACAAGACAGGACAGTATATTTTGTTCTTTCAAAAAAGAAAGAAAGATTTGTGATTTATTGATATGCTTCAGTAGATTTGAATTGAATTCCCAAGGTTCGGGAAACTATAGTTGCAGGTTTCCAAGAAAAGCAGTATAAAAATATTCTGTTGCTGATATTTCTACAAAGAATATTATGAAATTTCAATTCAAGGACACAGATGTTGTTCAGTTACTGTAAGTTACTGTTTGCAAATCTAGTTTTTGTCCCCATTTGCTAAAACGTTCTGTGACTAGGGAACTTCCATGTAGGGACTTGGCTTTGGGGCCTTCGCACCTGGACTCACATGTCTCTTCGACTTCTTGGAATCTTGCTTTTGTCATCTGTTACAGAGCCAAAATAACAGGGTTTTAGGATCAGAGATAGCATATATGAAAGGTCTGGAGAGTGCCTGTTACATGGATGGTGTTTGTTGAGCTGTGCAGTGGAGACATTTTCCACAGACTTTTTTCAGATGAGCCTTGAGCCAAGCAAACTGTCACCCTTCTATGTTTCAAGCCAGAGAACATTTTGTCAGCATCTCCCATGTGTTAATATTTGAGCAGAACTCCTGAGTCCACCACTATAAGGAAAACATCATGCCCCATAAAAGAACTTACAGTCACTAGTTTCCTCACAAACGTGATACCTATGTATGGAAATCTGTTTATCTTTTACCAAGCTATTTGGCTCTTAGGAGGCCAAGTCATGAGACTGCAAAGCTGCTCTTCACTGCTGTCTGATATAGAATGAATTTGGGTCATGGAAAAGAAAGGGAACAGGAAGCTTGCCTTTTTTGTTTTCTAACAGAGTAAAATAAAAGGAGGAATTAACCATGAGATTCGCATGGCAATGTTTAGCTTTATAACCACACATTTTGGTAAAATGAACACCAAAAAGTCAACAGCAAAATATTAATGCCATGTCACACTGCTACAGAAAGTGCTAACAGTGCACAATGGACTGGAAATTTGGGATGTGAATTCTTGGAAAAGTAGTAGGTATCTTTTATAAATTATTATATCGATCCACAACTTTAATAGTTTGAAGGGACTCCAGAGAATATTTAGCTCAATGCTCACATCTCATCAGTGGAGAATCAAAGACTAATAAGTTATTCTTCACTGTTTAGGGTCACACTATACTATACAAGCCAGAGCTGGCTCAGGACACCTTACACCTCCCTAAGGGACTCCTCTCTCCTGTTCGGACCCCTCTGCCTCCCTCAGCAAGATGTAGGTTCCAAAAGGGTTCATCTGGTGCAGAAACAAACAAAATGAATGACACTTTCTTTTAAAATATACTAGCATTATTCTGCCATCTTGGGTGACCACCCTTTAGTCACTTTTCTCTATAATTTAGAAAGAGATAATGGCATTTCGGCATACAGTTCTAAACATTCAATGATTGCTAGTCACGAAGCCTCTGGCTCTATCTAGCAGACATTAGATATTCCAAAACTGCCTATTGTTTTAATAGCAGCTTTATTGACAAATATTCTTTACTTAGAAAAAAGAAAAACTTAATTGATAGAAGAAAGCTTAGCTGCTCTAACAGGAAGCTGAGATGCTATGTATATTAAAGTCAAAGTAGAACTTTTTTGGATACAGACTGAGAGAAATCATGTGAACCAACTGAGGATTCCATCTGGCTGCATCCAGAGAGAAATTTTAAGCATATTTGAAAGCAGGTAAAGAGAAGAAAAAGGGGAGAGTTCTCTGTTGGCAGAGGGTGAGCATGTACACACCCCAGATACAGAGGGACATTGTCGAAATGGTTTCCTACAGACAGGGAGGCTATGGAACGTAGCAACTGTGGCCTCTGACCTCAAGGTTAAGACAATTACGTTCCTTTTACTGTATTTTTTAGTAACATCTGTGCTATCTCCACATTTGTTATACTCACCAATTTTGAGTTGGTCATAGCTTGGGGAATGAGGAGAGACCTCGATCACACTCTTACTCACAGGCATCTAGAGATGGCTGGAGCAGCCAGCAGAAGCAGTGTTCATCACACGCAAATCAGCCCTGGACTATGGAGCGAGAAGACTCGGGATTGCCAAGAGAATGTGGATATCTGAGCTGGGTGAGAACCCTGAGAAATCACAAGAGGCACTCAGGTTGTTTCACAGATAAATGTTGGCATGACTCAGTGATTTCTTCCAGCCACTGGTGAAGAGGTGAACCCCGGAGATGGAACCATTCGGAATGGCTCATTTCTCTACGCGTTTGCATGTTAACATGATATTCTCCATTGGGTGGCTTTATTTGTCAGTATGAATTTCAGTATCAATACCTTTCAATCAGATACACATTTTATCATTAAAGCACAAGCCTAGCTTGAGTTTTAAAGGTAGGCACAAACTATGCAATTCTTTTAAGAAGAAATAAACTAAAACAAACAAAAAGAGGCAAGTCATGTTCACGACCCAGTGTGTTTCACTTCAGGATGAAGAGATATATAAAAACTCAGTTTGGCTTGACTGACACTAGGGTACCTTAAAATGAAAAGGGCGGTAGTGCAAATAGCAATGTAGTTCAACAGCCTTTGCAAATCTCCAAAAATTAGATAATTTATATAGCTTTTTACATTGCTTTTTATCTAAAGATGTCATATCATATATCTATAAATTTCCTGACTCAACATATCAAAGATGTTTTAAAATGGCATTTTGATGATTTTTTGATGTCATGTGAGTGTACAGAGGTACTTTGTTTTCAGATATTTATATGAAACAGAGGGTGACTCCCTAGTTTCATGGAGGTTCAGTAGTGAGATGGGAAAGATATGGACCACATGCAGTATAATTATTAACAGAGCCCTGGCTTAATTACTTCAAGACGCTTAACCTTCCTGGAATTATACTTCTCATTTGTAAAATAAGAAAATGAGGCTATGCTATCTTTAATGTTTTGTTTGGCTTTTTTAAAACATAATAGGGACAAGAATAAGGAATGGTCCTTTACGTCAACACTGGGAACTCAAGGTTATGCTGTAAAAAAGTAGGAAAATATAAAACTGTATTGACTTTGTGAAAGAAGGTTTAATTACTTAACCACTAAGGAGGTCGCTTTAAGGTGACATTCCTGTAACTTAGCAGGAATTCCTTGGAAATGGACCCAGAGCAGTGAGAAGCGATCCAATGTATTTTGTAGTATTTGGATAAATGTCAAAAACCTGAAGGCCTGACTTTTTAATTTTTGTTTTATTTTGTTTTTGTTTTGTCCATACAATGATTATGAACTTAAGGGAGTATAACCTGAGAGAAAACAAAACAAAACAAAAAAAACCTCTGAACAGGTATATTGTTGTTTTTTTAATAGCTTATAGGATACCAAAGAGCGATGCTAGAGCTGTGTAGATCCAGAGAGAAAACCCAGAACCCAGTGGAAGACTTCGTAAGATTTTACAGGAAGGCAAGATGCGTAATAAGTCCCCCACAGCTAGAGGAATTGGCCTTGGAAGTAATGAGCTTGTGCTCGAGACAAAGGCTTGAGAACCAGGCACTGGGATTTCCCAGACACTGATGATGATAGCACTTTGCATCGATGTTCATGAGAGATTTCGGTGTGTAGTTTTGTTTTTATAATGTCACTATCTTGTGTTGGTAAAAAGACAATGTTGATCTTATAGAATAGTTAAAAAGTGTTTATGTCTACATTTTGGAAGAAATTGTGTAGAACTCATGTTATTTTTAATTATATTTAATTTTGTAATTTAATATTGTAAGATTCACCAGTGAAACCATCTGGGACCGGTGTTTTTTAAAAATATATAGAAATTATTGATTTAATTTTAATGGATACAAACATATTCAGTTTACCTATTTCTCCTTATGTGAGTTTTGCTATTTTGTGTGCCCAAGTGTACCTGAAGTATCATAGTCAGCTTCATGCTATTTCTTTATTATTGTTTTAATGTCTGCAGAGTATCTGGTAATAACCCCTCTTTCATTCCTGCTATCAGTAATTATCTTATTTAAAAATTTGTCAGTCTTGCTAGAGGTTTATCAGTTTTATTAATCCTATTATAGAACCAGCTCTGTTTCATTGATTTTTCTCTATTGTTTGACTGTTTTAATTTGTATTAATTTCTGCTCTTATCTTCGTTATTTCCTTCCCTTTGCTTACCTTGTATTTTGTTCTTTTTTCTCAAGGTAGATATTTAGGCCATTGATTTAAGATTTTTCTCATTTCTAATGTAAGCATCTACTGGTATACACTTTTCTGTCAGTACTGCTTTAGTTCCATCCCACAATTATGGTCTGTTGCAGACTTGTTTTTATTCAGCCTCATGCATTAAAAAAAATTATTCTGCTATTTCTTTTTTGGGTATCAGATGGTGTTAAAACTTTTGCTTAAATAATTAAATACAATTAATAAAAGTTATAATAAAAGGGATAATTGTATGTACAGTCATATGTCAATGATAAAAACACATTCTAAGAAATGCATTATTAGGCAATTTCATTGTTGTGTGAACATCACAGAGTGCACTTACACAAAGCTAGATGGTACAGCCTACTACACACCTGGGCTGTATTGTAGAGCCGATTGCTCCTAGGTTACAGACCTGTACAGCATGTTACTGTACTGAATTCTGCAGGCAATTTATAACACAATGGCAAGTATTTATGTATCTAAACATATCTAAACATTGACAAGGTACAGAAAAAATACAATATAAATGATAAAAAGAAATGGTACACTTGTATAGGGCACTTACCATGAATGGCATCTGCAGGGTGGAAGTTACTCTGGGTGAGTTAGTCAGTGAGCGGTTAAGTGAATGTGAAAATCTAGGACATTACTGCACACTACTGTAGACTTTGCAAACACTGTACACTTAAGCTGCACTGCATTTCATGAAAAATAAAGTAATTTTGCTACAGTGTTACAACAGCTATAACATCACTAAGCAATAGGAATTTTTCAGCTCCATTCTAATCTTATTGGACCACTGTCACATAAGCAGTTTGTCATTGACAGAAATGTCTTTATACAGCATGTGACTGAACCTATATTTTGCTCTTTCCATTGTTCCATGTTCCTTCCTGATGCTTTTAGTTCCCGTCTTTCATCTTTTTTTTTTTCTGTTGGAAGAACATCCTTTAGGCAATCTTTAAGAATAAGTCTGCCATTGACAGATTCCCATATTTTCTCTACATCTGAGATTGTTTTTATTTCTCTTTCTTTCCTGAAAAATACTTATATTGGGTATAGAAACACAGTTCACAGCTCTTTTCTTTCAGCCTTTAAAGGGTATTGTGCCATGTCCCTCTCTTTTCCTTGGTTCTAATGAGAAATCTGATGTCATTTTAATTGGCGTTCCGTTGTAGGTAACATGTCGATCCTCTCTGGCTTCTTTTAATTTTTTTTATTTGTTTTAGAACTTCAATTATGATATGTCTTAGTATCTATTCATGGGGCTTTTTTTCAGTGCCTTGAATTTTTAAGTGTGTATCTTTTGCAAAATTTGTCAAGTCTTCGGCCATTAATTATTCCATTCTATATCATTTTTTTCAGTCTGTTTCTATCTGTTGTTCAGATTGGGTGAATTCTAATTTTCTGTACTCAATTTCACATATTTTATCTCTTTCATTTGCACTCTACTATTGAATCCATCCAGCAATTTTTTTTTCTGTTATCGTATTTATCAGTTTTATAATTTGATCCTGTTCTTTTTTATGAATCTATTTCCTTGCTGAAATTATCTGTATTACATTTGCCTGTAATAGACTGTCATAGAATGTTTGACAGCTGTTTTAAAAACCCTTGTCAGGTAGTTCCCACACCTGATTCTGTTGATGTTGGCATTCCTCAAACCCATAATCTCAGCGTTACTGAGGGTTGTTCAGAATAATATTTACTGCTAAAAATAGCACCTAAAGTCAGTAAACAGAAGACGATTGCATGCTTAGCTGAGAGATAGTATAAAACTAGAGGTTATATGTTGAAAAATTGTCTTCTTAAAATTGAAAGTGGTTTTAAAAAGTCAAAACCTGATGGATAAACTGAATAATCTACAGGGAAAAAAAACTCACCTCGACAAGGAATATAAAGAAATACTTTACGATTATTCTGTTGAGTAAAAGAAAAGAATGGGTTATAGTCAGAGGTTGACAGAGAGTGTGGCCTTAAATGAATTGTGGTGATAAATTTTCAGTGAATTTCCTAGTGAGTCACCAGATACGGAATAATTGCTGCATATATGAGGCAGAGGATTGAATAGTAAATAAAATCCATGTAGGATTTAACAGCTTGCAAGGGAGGGTATGGAACAGGCTGACACTCACAACTATTTCTAAAGGAAAATGGAAAGAAAATTCACAAGAAATTGGAAAATGGAGGTGGAGCTCACAGCTTTTTTTGTTACACCTTTTCAGTGGGAAGCGTGGTCTGGCAAGCATGATATAAAACATCATGTATAACTGGTCATCAAAACTTTGGGAAACATAATCTACAAACAGGAAAGAGAATCAGCCTTAAGTCCAGAGAGAACAACAGAATAAGAAAGAGGCAGGATGTGTCCAGTCTAAGGCAGCAGAGCCCTGATCCTACAGCACCTCTGGCTGCCAGAATGTGGTACAAGCTGACTCTGGATTGGACCTTGCACGTGCTACTGTACCAGACCACCTTTGCAGTTCCCTTTAGTTTCCTCCCATCTGAATTTCCTCAGTGGCAACGTTAATAATTTTATCTTGAAAGTTAGTCCAAAACAGCATGTGCCCAGTTTGTCCTAAGTGAGGAATAAGCATTTTGAGGGATGTTCTCCTTATTCCAGCACATTTTCCCAAGTTTCCTCAATGTTCTCCCTTTAGTTTTAACAGACATTTTCTGACCGGATTTATGCTAAACAAGGACAATAAACACCAACAATAACTTTTCCAGCTTCCCAACATTTCACAGCAGAGCTGCAGTAAAGGCAGAGGACATGGAGAGAAGCCCCATATGGCCAAGTCCTGCAGGAGCAGCAGCTCCTCCTGCCCATATGTTCTGGAGCCCACCCATCCAGGGGCAAAGCTGCATGCAGACTCCTTCCCCATCCGATTTTTCAGCGGGGACTGGCTCTGACCTTCAGACAGACACGTCCAAACACCTGCCGATTGCCCTCTGGGTGGCCACCAGATACCTACAGCTCCGCACTGAAAAGTTCCAAAATGGAAACATCATCTCCCCCAAACCCGCCCCCTCTGTTCTGTGTTTTCTTAGATTCTGTATGTATATTTGCCATCCATTCCTCACAAGGCCCAACTCTCAGCCAAAGTGTCCACTTCTCTCCTTTTAAGTCCAATGCCTTGTATTCACTTCTCACATGCAGATCTGCTGATTCAAGTCTGAGCCCCCACCTTCTTCCCTAACTCGCACAGCAAGCCAACATTGCCCCTACCCTAAATCATCCCAGGGCCAAGTACCAGGCAACCAGAGACCACCCTACGCTGTGTACCCATCCCTGCCTTTACTTCTCCACAGAAGCCTCAATACAGGCTCTGGCTGGGCCCTTCCTTCTGTCTCCTAGCCTCCCTGAGCTTTCTGCATGGCCCTGCGTGATGTGGTGTGCCCCCTCCTCCTGGGAAATAGAAGCAATAAATTTTCTTTCAGTGGCACTGACCTCTATGTGTAGTCACTCAGTCATTTCCAGAAACTAAAATCCTTTGGCCACAAAGGAGATGCTCTCCTTTTGCCATCACAGAATGAGATTGAGGATAGGGCATATCTGAATTCGGGGATGTAGTCTCAGCCTTAACTCTCACTACTTTGTGGTGGTGTTTAAGGATGTCTACCACTCAGCTTATCAAGAAAGCAGTGATATGTGAGGAGGCGCACTAGACTAGGTGCAAAATATATAGGAAGTGTCGCTCCCCCAGGCAGATGTGTCAGAGCACACGAGCCTCCCTCTACTGCATGCTGTACCCTCCTTCCTCCCTCTAGACACCAGTGAGGGTAAAAATCACCTGGCCTGCAAAATTCTTTGACAACTGGCACTTGTCGAGTATGTGCTGTGAACTACACACAGAGGTGAGTGGAATCGATGTGTGTGTGTTTGTGGTGGTGCATATACTTCCTGTGACTCTCTGGAGGGTCAGTGTTTACAGATGCGCTCACCCCTGCAGGGCCAGGTCAGGGTCTGTGCTATCTCTGCTGTTTTCACAACTCCGTTCTGGCTCCCCAGGAAAACCACAATAAAAATCGGTCTTGGTTGGGTGCAGTGACTCACACCTGTAATCCCAGCAGTTTGTGAGGCCAAGGCAGGCAGATCACTTGAGGTCAGGAGTTCAAGACCAGCCTGCCAACATGGTGAAACCCTATCTCTAATAAAAATACAAAAATTAGTCGAGTGTGGTGGCACGAACCTGTAATACCAGCTACTCAGGAGGCTGAGGCAGGAGAATCGCTTGAACCTGGGAGGCGTAGATTGCAGTGAGCTGAGATCGCGCCACTGCCCTCCAGCCTGAGTGACAAGAGTGGGATTCTGTCACACACACACACACACACACACACACACACACACACACACACACCAGTCTTAGCGGAGGATTCTCTGTCCAAGAGAAAGGACAGAAAAGCAATGTGTTCACACTTGGCCTGTGGAGAAACCTCTTATTCACACCAGGACCTACGTTACCTCAGTGAGTATCTAGACACTTTAAAAGCTGGAAATGTTGGGGCTTGCCAAAGTTCCTTTTCTATGTAAGTTTTTGTTTTGCTTTTTTCCTGGTTAGGTCAAGGTCAAGGTGATTTACTGTTAGCATCTGTGGCTTTCTGGAATCCCACCCTTCCCAATCACACATCATTTTAAAGAAATGGTTCCCGAAAGGTCTGAACCACATTGTTAACCCACATACCCAGTGAAAAACAAAACAATTCTAAGAAGATTTAAATTAAACCAGTAACCCATCCTCTTCTTATCTTTTTCTTGTAAATATTGCTTGATTCTTCCTGAATTCCCGAAGTGGAGTTTATTACAAAGAGCATTCATTTAGACGAGAAGTACTTGTATACAATTTTGTATGGTTTCCGTGGAAAAAGTGAATAGAACTGTGTTGCAGTATTGTGGTTTTAAGGCCTAAATTGACAATCAGCCTTTGTGAATTTGCATGAAAATTTATGCCCACATGACATCTTTTCTACTAAAGAAAGCTTTTGTTTTTCACACTTAGTACTGAACCTGGAAAGCTAATATCCATGTGGATAATCCCAAAGGAGCTGGTGTGTTTAACTGTGTTGATTTTGTATGATCAGGAATGAATAAAAATAAAGCATGTTAGAATTTCAGAGATGGAGAGGAACTTATGGTCTCCTACTTACCTTGCATTCTTGGCATTTGGGGCCCAGATCACCTAAAGACCCCCCTGCACTATCTAATTTCCTCTGCAACTCCATCTCATCCAGACACCCCCTCTTGGCTGTTGGTGTACCAGCACCCCCTTAAGAGCCCCCTGCTTCAGGGTCTTTGCCCTCACTTCTATCTTCTCCTGAATCACGTTTACTTCTCCTCCCAGATGGCTGCTCAAATGTCAACCTAGAAATAAAAACACCTCTAACCACCCTGAAAAAACAGCCACCACCTCAGGCTCAGCACTTCCTGCACTTAAGCCTGTTTTTCTTTTTGCCAAAGCTTTCACTGTTATCTGAAAAAATATATACATTTCCATGTTTAAAATGTATTATCTGACTCTCTTTGTTCTTTGCTGCATCTCTACACCCAAGAATAGTTCCTGGCACATTACTGACATTCATCAAATGTCTTTTGAATGACTAAATAAGTGAAGATGATGGGGTCCTCAGTATTCTGAACCCTAACAGAGTCATAGTTTCTCAAATTGACTTGTGCCTTTCCTGCAATTTCAATCCAAGCTAAAAGTTTAAAAGTGGCATAAGGGCTGCCCAGGTAATATGAATTCATCACATGAAGGAATATTATATCTTTGAAGGCAGTGACTATTGTATTTTACCTCCTTGAGTGAGAATACATCTGTCTCAAAGAAAAGAATCAAGTCTCATTAGGGAGATAGTGCTGGCCAAACCAATCAGAACCATCCTTTGGGAAAAGATGTTTTAGAACTGACTCTTCTTTGACCATCCCAATTTGAAATCTGTGTCTTTAGGGGCTTTTAACCACATTAAGTCATGACTGAGTGGTTAACTGTAGTGTCTTTGAGGCATAGGGATGGCAGGGATGAGGCAGGAGCCCTCCATCAGGAGTTTACATCTAGGGAAGACTTCTTTTCTTAATTGAACTACAAGAAGAACTCATATTTCTCATGCCTATTTTTCAACCCAAACATAAACAAATGGGAGAATATGGTGGGAGCAGGGTGTATCCCACACTCCACAGAGAAGGGTGAGGATCCAGTTGAGAAGGACATCCCTGCAGAAGGAACAGGAGACACCAACAAAAATGTGACGAGACTGTAAAGTCTCAATAAATATCCTGACTTTGCCCTCTCCCTCTGAGATGTAACAAGACTCTGTTGAAGTGGGAGTGTTAGGCCATTCTTGCTATAAATAAATACCTGAGACTGGGTAATTTATAAATAACAGGTTCAGTTGGCTCATAGTTCTGCAGGTTGTGTAGGAAGCATGGCACCGACATCTGGTCAGCTTCTGGGGAGGCCTCCAGGAGCTTATACTGATGGTGGAAGGCAAAGTAAGAGCAGGCATCGCTCACAGGGGAGGCACCACACTTTACAGCAATCAGATCTCATGGTAACTCACTCACTATCTGAGGACAGCACCAGACCATGAGGGATCACCCCCATGAGCCAAATACCTCCTACCGGGCCCCACCTCCAATACTGAGGATTATAATTCAACATGAGACTTGGGTGGGGACAAATACCAAACTGTATCAGTGGGTTTTCCTTCCTATGGTAAAAAAAAATCAGCTTCTTCTTATCCCCAGCTGTGGTGGTAATATTCTGGAAAGCCAGCCTTTAATAAGCGTGCAAAGGCTGTGTTTTTCCCTTGGTGGGTAGAGGCAAGGAAAGGAAAAAGACATGGGGCTAGCACACTGCCTGCCTGCTGTGGATCTGGAGCTAGCCTGGGCCCAGGGACCATGAGGGGAATGAGGACTATTTCTACCATAGAGGAGCATAAGGCCTTCTTAGGGAGAAAGATATGTAAACAACACTTAATGCAATGGAAGTCACATGAGAAAGGGGACTGTAGCTTGTGGAGGAGGCGAAGGAAGATTAGACAGACTGCAATTGGCCTCATTTTAGCAGATGAGGAGATAAAATAGGAGGGAAATAACAGTCTTTAGAGTGAAAGCAGAACTCTACAGAGCTGACACTAAGGCCTGCACCCTTCCCTGTGTCACATGGCATGAGACAAAACATTCATGCACGATGCAGTGGGGCATGGTCTGTGTTACTGTCGCCTGGCTCATGCTTTAAGACACAGACTCCTACTCCTGAGGAGGAATGTGTCCAAGGGAGTGCAGGGGCCCTGTGGAACAAGAGGAGGCTCGCTGGTCTCCCTTTGGCCTTGACTGATGTTGCTGAGAAGAGAGCCCCTTCACTCAGGCGTCTTCAGGGCTCCCGCAGCTGGGGCCTCGCTCTGTGTACTGTTCTGGAGATTGCTGAGGCTAAATATTACTGCAGCTGGGAACACTCAGGAAGCTTGTTCCCTTACAAATGGCAATCTTTACTCAGGTACCTGAGGAGCAAAATGGCAATCCGTGTAGCATAATGCAGAGAGAGTCCACAGGATTCTCCTGCTCTCTGGAATACCACCCCAGAACACGTCCTCCCTTGTGCTTTCTCCCATGCCCATCAGACTTGGCTGTGGGCACAAGGGAAGGAGGAGTCAGGATGGGAACCAGAGCTGTCATGGGAAGACAGCACAGGCCACGCAGCACCAGGTAAACTGGATAAATTGGAAGACGGTAGTGAATCTGCAGCCACACGATGAAGAGTTTTAAAGGGGATGAAAAGGAGACACAGGTGGAGCATATTTCCACTGAGCACAGAAAAAGAGAACAGTAATTTCCTTTACATGTCTATTTGGAAATCATTGAGTATTTATAATATATGAGAAAGAGGTTGGAATACACTCAAGAGTACATTAAAAAATATAAAACCTGATTCTTTTTTGCAAAGGATTTACAACCCCAATAATTAACCATGATGCATTGCATGTAAAATGCCAAAAAAGTGATACAAAATATTCTACAAAGGAGGAAGACGTGTTGAAATTTGTTAAGCATCTGTTAGAGCTGTCACTTAGTATGAGCAAGTTAATTTAATCTTTACGCAACCTTAGATTATAGGTGTAATGAATATTATTTTGCAGATTAGGTAATCATGTCCCAGAAATGTCAAGTAAGTTACCAATGTCACTCAGCTAGCCCGTGGAAGAGGTAGGCTTCCCACTCTCCCTAGAGCAATTGCTCTTTCTCTTGGAAAGAAAAGTCTCCTGCATCTAAGTCAAAGCACGGGAGTTAATCATGCAGCTGATTTTAGAATCACAGGCTCCCTAAGTCAGTGTGGGTCATCTGCTTAAGACCCTGGTCATCTAACAGAGAGACATCCACGCAGGAGTGAAGGCCATGGCCTACAGTAGATTTTGTAATGAGAAGTCACTCAAGCCTGAATGATGACAGAAATCACAGAGAGGAAATGGAATACACTGTTGAGATGCTAAGTCCCAAAGAGGTCAGTCATGCCTGGTGAAGTAAGTTTTGAGAGTGAATTGGTATGTGGGAAACATGTGGTGAAGACAAGGGGTTGAAAGCTGAGGCTTGAGTAAGGCCAAATGGATTCAGTGCTGAAGGCCCACATTTTGATTATGTTGGCTGTACAGCACCATGACTCAGTTATCTGTTTTTTTTTTTTTTAGATGGAGTCTCACTCTGTCGCCAGGCTGGAGGGCAGTGGCACGAGCTCAGCTCACTGCAACCTCCGCCTCCGGGTTCAAGCGATTCTCCTGTCTCAGCATCCTGAGTAGCTGGGACTACAGGCATGTGCCACCACGCCCAGCTAATTTTTGTGTTTTTAGTAGAGATGGGGGTTTCATCATGTTGGTCAGGATGGTCTCGATCTCTTGACCTCGTGATCCGCCTGCCTCGGCCTCCCCAAAGTGCTGGGATTACAGGTGTGAGCCACTGTGCCCAGCTGACTCAGTTATCTTTTTAAAGCACCTCTGCATGCTGGATCAACCTGTGAGATGCATCTGCAGAACATCTTGAACGTGCCTGACTCAGAGTCTCTTGGAAGATGTCCAATGCTGAAACCTTGCTTGATCCAAGGCAGCATGGTTCATATTCTTATATAGTATAATTATAATGATTATATTTTAAATTAAATTCATTTGGGATAAAAAAGGTAAACTAAAAGATATGTGTTGGGAGGTAATAAATCTCCAAATACATTGTTGTCCCTAGATTCAGTATTGAATAACTTTGATTTTATATGCTTTTAAAATGTACTGAAACCTCTTAATAATTGCTGGTTTTTCCAACGAGAGGCTTGATGTCAAAAATAAGCCGGGAATACCTAGTGTTCCAGCTCCATATTCTACCCTGCACATAAAAATAGGCTTTTGAAGTCCAGCAGAGCCAGGTAAAGGGAAAAGATGTTGCAAATAGACTCTCAAGTCATCTACTCTGACTCCACCAAAACCCACAAGTGAAGCAATGATTTATGATCTGACTCACAATTGAAGAGTCTGCACAGAAAGAAAAAAAAAACAAAAACAAATTAATAACCATAAAGAGGAAGTGCATATTTCCTACACTTCATTATTTTTTCTTTTTATCTACCATCCCATCAAGCCTGGCAGTGATCGAGCAGGGTGAAATCATTGTTTCTTTTTTATAAATCAACATGGGTAATGTTTGAGTGCAGAAAGATCTGGTATTTCACTATTTATGGGTGCATAGCTCTGTCTGTACTCACAGTTCCAACAGCACGTTCACTTACTTTTAACTTCTGACTCAAAGTAACCCTGCAGAATCTGTATTCTTATCCCACTTTGCAAATTAGGAAAATGAGCCTCACATTGGTTTACACACACGTGACAATGAAACAATTATTGCTTGGGTGAGAAGGGCAGTGAATGCTATAATACGATAGTTTCCAAAAATTTCCAAGTTGGAAGCTTCTGGGATAGGCAAACGAGACAAAGTAAATACATTTTCTTGTAGTTAGGATATAAGGTTCTGAAATCAGACAGTCTGGATTCAAAACCCAGTGCTGCTGCCTTACCCATTTTCTCTAAGTTCCAGTTTCTTCACCTGAAAAATAGGAATTGCGTAGTACCTTTAAAAATGTAGATATAATAATATGGCAAAATAATGGAAAGAATTATGTGAGGATAAAGCACAGGTGATAAAAAATTATTAAAGGAAATTTTACCTAGTATTTGATATTCTTTACACAGTTTAGTGATACAGAAATTATTTATTATTTCTCTTGTCAAGAGTGGGATTATAGATCAACAACTGGGAACACTAACTGTCCAGCAGAAGATGAAAAGTCAGAGTCCCTTGGGAGCCCTGACGCTACCAGAACTAACAGAGACAGGAGTGCTGATCAGATGTCAGAGACAGGAGTGCTGATCAGATGTCAGAATCTGGCCAGTGTAGTGAAACCATAAAAGATGCAGACATTTCCAAACACAAGCTGACACTGGGACCGAGAACCACCTCTTTCCTACAGCACCCAACCACTCTCCCAAGTCTGGGCATCAGACATTGCCATGGCTGGCTTCCCACCCAATCTTTAAGGTGCATTTCCATCTCTTCAGTTCAAATTAGCAGGAAATTCAAGAAGATGCTTGCAAGTCAAGGCAATGGATCCTTGGGGCAATGGGGACAGAGGAAGGGACTTGCATACGAGAGGCTAAACTGGGCTAAAAAGAAGAGTTCAAGAAGTGGATAGAGAGAATTTGGAAGTGGAGAAAAGAAGAGGTGACATGAGCAAAGGTACACAAGGCAGACTTTGACACCATGGTGCTGGCCTCACCGGGCCTCTATGGTGGTGTCCCCTCATAGGACTCAGGCAGGAAACATGACAGTGTAGGGAGAAAGACACAACAAACCCTTTTGTCTCCCCTCCTGCCTCTTGGGTTTCTCAGTGAAGATTCTGTTGGCAAGATAAAAAGGAATTACAACAATCAATCTTCTTTTGGTGTTTGTTTTTCTTCTCTCTCCTTTTGGGAGCATTGCTTTGTGTCTGGCTGTGAGTTCAGTCCACAGACACAGTAGGATTTTGAGTCATTCCCCTCAGGCTTTCATTCTGGCACTGGTAAATGCTACTCATGAGACAGTGGACCTTGCTTTTATCACCTTTAAAGGGAAATAACAATACATATCTCTTTCTGGGTTACTGGGAGGGATAAACTCTTGTGGAACACATTACTCAGATTGTGCTTCATAAAAGACACTTTCTAATCCTTGACATAGCTTGAGCCATAATCAAACATAGCACGGAATGGCAAATAGAGGCTCAATAAACATTTATTGGAGAAGAAAAGAAACATGAATAAACCAAATGAATAAAGTACATCAATTTGGGCTTAAATAGAGACACATCCTAAAGATAAGACTGTAAGGCAAGGATATAGGCCATGGATAAGACAAATGCCAAGCCCCTGTTTTCACTGGTAAACCAAGGCCAGCTGAAAGGACAGGACTACACAAAACACACAAGGCAAAATCCCTATGTCCCCACCACCCTGTCCTCAGTAAAGAAAGTTTCTTGGAAACATCTGAAATCTATGCGGAGCCACGGAAGAAACATAGCAAAAAAGAAAGAAATTACACTTGAGAAGGCTTTATCTAGTTAAATAAAATTACACTAAAATTTAAAAATAAATAAATAAATAAAGGATTCAAAACTCAAATTTAGAAGAAGGCTAGATTGTTGTTGTGTTGTTGTTGCTTTTTCTTCATCCAGAAGACAGAACCAGAGTCGCTGGATGGGATGACTTCATGCGCAAGACAGGAAGGAAGTGGGTCCCACAGACTCATGCCAAGAGTCTCGCAACCCCCTTAAGGGCAAACATTCCCAGCACACCAATCCTGTCACAGCCAGGCCAGCCAACCCTCATACTGAATCCCTCACCTTGAGAAAGTCTACTGTTTTGATGTAATCATCAAAGGCTAATGGAAAAGAATAATATTATTTCATAGTTTAAGAGTAAAGAAAGAGACATCTGGAATTAACTTTGAATGAGAAAGATACTTATCTCATAGGCTACATGGAGAAAAAAAGGGAGTAAAGCCCCCTGGGCAGTATTCAACATTGAGGACAGAACACTGAAAACATACATTATTTTAATCACTGAGGTGCAAAAAGAAAAAAAAAGAAAAAATGTGTTCTCTAAAAATCAGGCCTTTTTATCCACCACCGTTTCTGATTTGCATTGACCTATTTCCTTTTTAGAGGAAAATGGGCTGAAAAAAAATTTTAAAATAAGCTTTAGAACCAGACAAACACAGGTCAGATTCTGAGTTTTCACTGAAATAAGCTGGATGGTATCAGGCAAAGTGGTTCTAATTGTGGCCTTGAGTGTAAGATTGCCAGATAAAATACAGGGCACCCAGATCTCAGACAAGCAACAAATAATGTTTTAGTATAAGGATGTCCCCATTCTTATATAAGAATTATTTATTGTTTACCTAAAATTCAAATTTAACCAGGCAGTCTCTATTTTTATTTGTACATCTAGTGACACTCATCTTCGACAGTAGGAATAAAACTATTGACCTGCACTGTCATTTGGAGATTAATAGTGATAGAGATAAATCATGTAGCAGAGGGCCTGACATGTAGGAAATACTCCAAGCAGTAACCATTTAATACTTTTACTTTAATTTCATCCTGAATAAGAATCATGTGTTATAAAGCTGGATATCCCCATTTCAGTGCATGCTTTATTTGGATTCATTTTTATTAAATGTGAGGTGAAAAAATTTCATAGTAGAGGAAAGGGAATGTTTATACACTGCTAGTGGGAATGTGAATTTGTCTAGCCACTGTGGAGAGCAGTTTGGAGATTCATCAAAGAACTAAGAGAAGAATGACCATTCAACCCAGTATTCCCATTACTGGGTATATACTCAAAGGAAAATACATCATTCTACCCAAAAGACACATGCACCCTTGTGTTCATCACGGCACTATTCACAATAGCAAAGACATGAATCATCCTTGGGGTCCATCAAAGATGAATTGATAAAGAAAATGTGATATGTACACACCATGGCATACTATGCAGCCATAAAAAAATATGTCTCTTGCAACAACATGGTGGCAGCTGGAAGCCATAATCCTAAGTGAATTAATGCAGAAACAGAAAACCAAATATCACATGTTCTCACTTACAAGTTGGGGCTAAACGTTGGGTCCATATGGACATAAAGACAGGAACAACAGACACTGGGACTACTAGAGAAGGGAGAGAAGGAGGAAGGTAAGGGCTAAAATAGTACTTATTGGGTACAATGCTCACTACCTGGGTAACGGATTCATCCATGCTCCAAACCTCACATGTACCCTTGATTTGAAAATAAAAGTTGAAAAGAAGAAAAAATTAAAACTATTTTTGAAAAAACAGAAGTATCAACCAAAAAATGAAGCAAAATCAGAGACAATTTCATAAGGAAACTTGCTGAAAAGTTCATAAGAAGTATAAGTAAATAAAATACATATATACAAACTAAATGCATATCATATAATTTGCCCGCCTTTACCAATGAACTAAGTTTGCTCTTTAGGGTCATCAAAGTGTGCTGCATCCTGGGCCTTCCCATGAAAATCTGCATGTGTGAATGCACGCCTCATGCAATACAATGAAGAAGATGAAGAACAAAGAATGGGCACTTGAATGTCCCAGGGTGTGCCTGCCTCCAGGGCACATTCAGAGGCTGAGCTCGAATGTGTTTCCCTCATAATGCCCTTATTTCATGACGTGATTTTAATGGTAGTGAACTTGAATAGCTTAGCACAATGTCCTCCAGACTCATCCATGTTATCTCAAATGTCAGGATTTCTTTCTTTTTAAGACTGAATAATATTCAATTGCATGTATGTGCCACATTTTCTTTATTCATTCATCTGTCGTTGGATATTTGGGTTGTTTCCATATCTTGACTATTGTGACTAATGCTGCAATAAACATAGAAGTACAGATATCTCTTCAAGATCCTCATTTCAATTCTTTTGGATTTATATGCAGAAGTGGGATTGCTAGATCACATGGTCACTCAGGGGTAAAAAATGAGGAAAAATGAATAAGTTCTAGATATCTAGTCTACAACATAATGCCTATAGTTAATAATACTGTATTGTGTACTTTAAAATATGTTAAGATGGTAGATCTCATGTTGTTTTCTTATTGAAAAAAGAAAAAAGTACAAGGAAATGTAGTACCTTGATTGAGGTGACAGTATCATGGGTGTATGCAGATGTCTAAACTCATCAAAATGTATGCATGAAATATGTGCAATTTTTGTATATCAATTATACCTCAAAAAAAACCTCTAAAAACTTGAACAGTTTTAAAAGTAATTATTTTAGAATATTTAACCTTAATATCTCCTTACTCTGATTCCTGCAGTGACAGGAAAGGAGGAGCCCAGCCCTGTGGTTTGTTTCAGTTTGCCATCCTCAGACAAGCCTGACACCTGGAATCAGGTTGTTGGTATTTGTCCTATGAGTTGCCTTCTGGAAGCCCACATAGCCCAACATGTAAGCATTATGGATGGGGTACGTATTCCGTATAAGATTTTTAAGTTTTCAAAACAGAGACAGAGACAAAGAGAGGAGAAAGAAAGAGAGGAAGGGAGGGAAAGAGAAGATATTAAGTTAAATCATGAATAAACACATCCAGTAAATACTCAGCCCACAGCTGTGTTAAGTTTTCATCCCCCCCATGGTAGGCACAACACTATTTGCTGAAAAGAAAAAAGGCAGATACAAGAGATCCAGATCTTATGATTTATATAATTTGAACTCTTGATCTTATGGATCTTATGGACTAACAACAAACTAAAAATATCTAGAGAGAGAAAGGTATTTACCCATGGACACCTGGCCAGTTGGTAGCAGGGCTAAGCTTGAGAGATGAATCTCCTCCTGGTCCCCAAACCTGGGCTCTTTCTACTTCCCAAGTCCTCTCCAGGTATCCTGCAGACAGAGCCCTTGGGTCTGGGTGAAGAAGCTTCTTTGTATTACATTGGTCAAGTCTTCCTGTTCTGATGAGTCTGGCTTCAGCTCTCAACCAGGGAGTTCTTGAATTTCACTTCTTTTTACCACTATGGAAACTTTCCTCTTTCCCAAATTACAATCAATGAAGTATTGAGCTAGGCTTCTTCTAGCATCTAACTATTATTTGAAATATTTTTCTACAAAATTGATATTTGAGACCTAAGCAAGTGATAAATGAACTTTTTGAGACAACTGTGTTCACAATTTGAGGACTATCAAGTCATGTGATAATAATTTGTATATGTGATGTGCTTTGACAGAAAGATTTTCAAGACATTCTGTCCAATGGAAGCTGTCAGCAGGTGATACTTCGAGAACCTTAGGAGGCTTCATAAGTGGTGGGGAGTACAGCCATGCACTGCTTAACATACGCTTCAAGTTGGCACCCTCACTTATATGAATCTTATCACACACTGCCTTACACATTCACACACAGGCACCAATATGCAGGTTGATAAATTAATATCTTGCATTTTCCCTCATCTTCAGAAGCCTAAAATTTTGAATCTTCCTGGTTTGTGTTTTGAATAAAATTGCATGTTAATATTTTCTTTCTTTTCCCTAATAAATGTACCTGCTTAAAACTTAAAATCTAACTTGAAATATATTCATAACCAGTTGAATTTCCCTTTATATCCTTTCTTATCAATCCTTGAAATCATCAAACACCTTTCTCTGGAATTGAGTCTGAGGGGTACATGGATCTGGGGAAGGAGGAGAACTTGAGGGAGTACAGTTCTGTGATTGGTTTCTGAAAGCCCTGCTCTTTGCATTTTGCATATCTTGACATGTCACAGCCGTTGGCCTTCCCGTGGTTAGGCATTTACAAGGGATGGTGGGAAGGAAATAAGTGGAAGGAAATCGAGTCTTTGTAGTCTGTGCCCAAAAGGGTAAAACTGAAAGATCTGCCAAGGCCTTCTCCGTGGGACACATACGTGAAAGTTACCTTACCTGCAACTTTCTTCCAAACTGACAACAGGAGTAACAACTGTATACCCACATATACTAGTGACTTCCACATGTAATTTCTGTCTTGGACCCTTCTGCTAAAGTCCAGACCCACATATCCAAGAGCCTGTTGAAAGTCTCCTCCGAGATGAATGGGCCTGCCTAGAGCACCACTCCCAACACTGAGTCCATCGTCTCCACTCTTTCTCATCCATCACCCGCCCACCATCCACCTACCAAAACCCAGATGATCCGGTGGCGAGTGAAGTAGTCGGAGTCCCTGCCCTAAAGGTAGTGGCTTCCAGTCAGAGACAGCAGGCAGCTGATCCACCGCAGCCTCCCTGCTCTCTGTCCCCAGGAAGCTGCACTTTCCTATAAACTGCATGGCCCAGGTCACAAGGAGGCAAATGTCACATGATGGAAACTCGTGGATACTTCAAAGAGCCCCTTGTTTTCTTAATATTGGACATGCAACCATTCTCCATAAATGGGTATTTGGATGGTTCCCACATTTGCACTATTACAGACAATGTCATATTTAATCACAGTGTTGCTGTCAGCACAAGATGGAATAGAGGATGCGTTCACAAGCAGAAATGCTGGGCTTAGAGTGTGCCCCTTTTCAAATTTGCTGGATATTTCTAAATTGCTCTCTAAAGTCATGCCAATCTGTGGGCCCTCAAGCAAGCAAGCTATCTCTCCACATCTTCAGCAGCATTTGGTATTATGACATTGTTGTATTTTTGCCAATCTGGTTTGTGTGAAGAGGTTTCTCAGTGTTGGCTGCATGTCTGTGACTCTGATTACTAGGGAGACTGAGAACCTTTTAGATGTTTATGAGTCACACATGCCTCTTGTGTGAACTTCTTGTTTATATTTTGGCAACTTATCTATCAGATTGTTTGTTTGCTTTCTCATTTTGATAAATTACTTTAATATTCTGGATACTGATCAGTTTATTATAGATGTTATAAATATTTTTCCCAAATGCTCTCTATCTTTTAGCTTCTGTTGTAGCATGTTTTTTTCAAAATGAGGTTTTTAGATTGATGTAGACTAATCTTTTTCTGTATGAGTTGCTCTTTTTATATTTTTTCTAATATATACTTTCCTTTTCAGATCATAAAGTATATTTTTATATGTTCTAACAATTTTCATTTGAGATATACACATATTTTCTTGATTCTCTCTTCTATTCTATTGATGTGTGTATTCATTCCTAAGTTAATCTTGTTATAGCTTATGTAGCAGGCCATGTCCACCTTCCTTGCTAAACTTTTTCACAAACTTTGCTCTCTTACTTGAGTTTTCTTACTCCAAATGCATTCTAGAATCATGTGTCAAATTCTTATTGTTATTTGGAAATAAGTTATATAGACTGATTTATGCATCAATAAAATCCTCATAACTTTGATTCTTACCACAATTAAATATGGACTATGTAATTTTAAATTAAGATATTCTTTAATATTTTCATATATTCAATATCATTTTATATATGTTCTCCATATTTTGGTAAACACTTTGTTACCTTGATTCCCGGGTGAACCCATAGTTTTATTTCCATTACAAGTGGTGTGTTCCTGCATCTGTATTTCTTGGTTGCTTCTCACTGGTTTACGCTAATGTCATCATTTTGTGCTTTGATCATATATCCAGCGATTCTGATTAACTTTCATTTTAATTTTAATGGTTACTGGATTAATACACCTCTCTGAGCCTTACTTTAGTTTCTTCTATGAGAAAGTTAGAAAATATAGTATCTACATCTTACATTTTTTTCTGATTATTAACTGAAATATATAGTATAAAGTCATAATTCTTGGTATACATTACACATGTAATGAGTATTCATTCATTTCTCTTGATTCCTCTATCTCACAGATAAATAAATGTAGTAACAAATACAAAGACGTTTTATTCACTAACTCTAATTTATGCATTCAGGAGATCATAAAGTATATTTATGATCTAGGCAGTGGATACTACCCAGAATTCACACTCTTTGAGAGCAGGTAGTCTATTAATCTACTGATGTGTCCCAAGGCCCAGAACTGGGTCTGGCACATAGTGGGCATTGAATAAAGGACAAATAAAGAAATTAATAAATTCAGACGTGTAGTAACTGAGGAAGGTCATTATTTTTTCCCCAAAACAGCATTCAAATGGGATTTGCTATTTTGAGCAACTTACTTTTAATCCAAAACTTTTAGAACCTATTTCGTTTAATCAAGTTGTGTGGAGGCACATTTTATTTCAGTCCCATAATCTACCCCACCCATTAACTCCATACTTAACCCTACATGGACCCTCCTTCCATTAAGATCTTCTTCCTCTTACTTCACGTTACTTATCTCTCCTTGGATCTTGCACGGCTCTTAACCTGCATGGCCCTTTGACAGTTCACCTCTGTCTGCCTCTTATGCCCTAGGTCTCCCACACAAGGCTCTATGCCCCTCAGAGTGTGTCTTCAGGAGTTCCCTGGGTGTCTCTGAGCCTTCCAGTCTCATAATGACTTTCAACTACAATACAAGTACTTACCACCTAATGTGTGTTGAATGTATGTGAAAACTAACAAGTGGATACTTTCTACATTTCTTCACACATTTGGCTCCTCACTACATGTCTATATCCTCTCCAGTAGAACTCTTCAGCAACTCCCCTCACTTAGGGGTCTGTCTCCAGGACTCCTCCCATGGCCTGTGTGCCCTCATTCATCAGGCCTCTGGCCAGCTTCCTGCATCCATACTACACATGGGTCACATCAAATATCTGTGTATTCCATCATGGAACTGCATTGTTTTCTGGGTCTCCAGTCTGTGGACATGCGTTTTTTCATATAGAATAGATTTCTTTACACCACACACTTGGGCTATTTCTTTTTGTCTTTCACACATGAGCCACGTGTTCCTTCTCTGTCTTCTGCTCATGTCCTGTGTTCCTATAATACTTACTGATGTGCACAACCATTGTTTCCTCACTGGTTTAAAGGTCCCAAGAGCACATGTGCTGTGTTTATTTCATCATTAAAACCCATCAGCTACTGCAGTGTCTGGCAAAATATAGATGATCTATAAATATTAAACTTAGTGCTCTGTTAGGATAACAGATTTTGAAAGAATTTTAGAGGTGTTTCCTGAAAATGGAGGGCAGAGATTTGGCTTATCAAGATGAATAAAAAGAGCTGGGGAGATGTCATGGAGGCTCCTTCAGCAGCGAGTGGCTGATGACAGCAAATTAATGTACTAGAAAGGTTGGAAAACCAACCAACACAAGTATATGCATCTGGGGACTAATCAACACATAGGACTAGCAACTCAGCATTTATTTTTCTTTTCCATCTGTTTTATGTATATCGTGAATGTATACATCCATGTAGAAGAAAAAAGACAAATATATTTTGGCTTTAAATTACATTAAGTTTGAAGATCATTTTGAAATCATTTTGATCAGTATACGCAGCCTAAATACTTTGACTTCATGGCATTCCTGCATCCTGTTTTCTCCGCATATGCCTAGTGTTCATAGTGGGAATCAGCTCTTCCCCAAAATAAAGCAAGAAAAAAATTTTTATTTATCTCAAAGTTGTAACGGGTATGCAGATTCAAAGTTATTTTCCAACCCCTCTAAAGAATAACTGTTGATGTATTTTTTGATATTATTCAAGACAAAACAATATATTTTCATTGCTGATGTTGATCAGTAGCTAGTTTTTTAGACTAGTAAATATACAAATAAATGAGAAAATACTTGTTTTTATGATTAAAATATTTTTATAGAAAACATCTAAAAATTAACGATGAAATTAATTTATGGTGTCTTTTACAAGTTTTGGAGCACAAATAAGGAAATATTTAACAACTGAATTTTAAATTTACCAAAGCACTTTGCAAAGGATTTGGTTATTTAGGGAATTTTTTTTCTAACTTTGTAACAACAAAATAAATGTGGATGAAATTCAGAAACCTTAGGCAACATCCATTGTTTCACAATAACTATGGGCACCAGAGTCCCCACAGGTCACACCATGTGTAAATAATAACACCAGCTATACTGGGAAGTTGAAATGCTTCCATGTGTAACAGTGCTGGGGGCGCTTCTCTGAAAACGGAACACTCGACATGGAAACTTTTTATTCCCTAAATTGTTCCAGATAGTTGGTGACAGATTTAAAGTATAATTGTTTAACATGGACAAGTAAAAACATTTTTCAGAAAGACAAAATGTTGTGGCAGTATTTTTTTCTTCTTCTGATAGAATCTTTATTTTAATCAGATACCTACTCCCCCAGTCAACCTGTTTGCCTCCGGGAAAGCATAAACTCTTTCTTAGACCCCTGGGCACAATGAATTTAACTACAGTCACAACCTGTCCCCCATCAGTGGGTCTTAGCAATGGGCTTGTAGAACAATTAAGGCCAAATGAAAGCATGAAGATATTTCCCTGTGGCCTCTAGAAAAATTATCTTTTGGTTCTCATCCTCTCTCCCTCTTCCCTTCTTTCTCCTCTCTTTTCTACCCCCACTTCTTTTTTCTCTTCCTCCTCCTCCTCTTCCTCCTCTTCTTGTTCTTCTTGTTCTTTTTCTTCTCCTCTTTCTCCTCCTCCTCCTCCTCCTTCTCCTTCTCCTCCTCTCTCTCTCTCCATGTTTTAATGCAAAGATGTGAAATACTGAGAATGGAGGACAGAGATATGAATGGGCAATGGCCAGACCAGACATAAAAATAAAACTCTGACCCACAATCTGTGGCAAACTGCCCAGAAAGCCAACTCATACACTACAGTACCAGCCCAGGAAACCAGCCTGAGATCTATGAGTCAGACTCATAGGAAGCCAGACCACTCTAACAACTGGTTCAGGAGGCTAAACAATAACCCCTGTAATAATTAGTCCCAAAGGGCTAAGACATGATTGATAACTGGCAGCTTCCCTGATATTGTCCCTGCTTTCAACTAAGGACCAACCAGAGAAAGCCAAATATGCTTCCCTAACCAATCACGTAGGCAGCCTCTCTTCTAGTGAGCCGCCTCAGCTTTCCAAGGCAGGCTGTCTGAACTGCAACAGGGCTCACCTGTTTCCCACTGTGAAGCTTCCCCTCTCCTCTGCCTGCCTGTGATTCTTGGCCAAATGCGGTGATGGTGGCTGGCCCCCTTGCTAGAGCAGCTCTGGGTGAATGGCCTTTGCCTGTTCTCATTGGGAGATCTTCATTTAGATGATACTAAACAGATCATCTCTCTGCTAGTACAGGCTTAAATGGATGTGCATAAGAGAGCATCCCAGAGAATCAGAAGTGGGCCCTGACTGAGCACATCCTGAGGCCTCCCTGTCTCAGATCCCCAAGTGGCAAACTCATAAATGTCTTTCATTATTAGTGCCAATTTCCCTTTGTGTTTCTATCACTGATTTTAAGTCAACATAGAACTTAAAATTGGGAGCGCTAACATAATAGACTAAAATGTCAAGCTAACTGAGGGAAGGGCAGCAAGGACCCCCATCTGCTAGGTTGGGAAATGGATTAAAGCACTGTGTTATGGGCCAAACAGTACTGCTGCATTTGGGAATATGGCAGGAAACCAGACATTTAGGAGAGGACTGTATTCAGGCAATTGTGAAAGGGAGAATATTTATTAATAAAAAAAAAGGAGGGTCCTGCCTGGCGTTTTAAGGCAGCCAAACAAGAGAGCTAAATGTAGCCTTATGAGAGCCATAAGGAAGGACAGAGATGGCTCTTATTTGGCAATATGTGGGGGCAGGCTAGGGGGATTTCCAGGAGCACAAGGGCTCAGCTGAAGTTCAGCGTTGTCATCAGCGTATGTTGATTTGTAGTCTTCCTCAAACCCCGAGTCAAGTAACAGCAAGGCTTGAAGATGACCTGTCTGAAAGTAAAATGGCAAGAAAGGCCAAAACTCTCTTTGCCAGTGGAATACATTTCAAAAATAAGACAGAAACTTAAGCCATTTCTTGGAGTTAAAAAGATACCATTTGATCCCAAGTAAAAATCTGTGTTAGGAGACTAGGTAGGTAGGTGCAAAGTTTAGCAGGAGATAGATGAGACATGAAACAAATTTGAACCCTGCTGTATGAGTTCGTTCTCACGCTGCTAATAAAGACATACCTGAGACTGGGTGATTTATGAAGAAAAAGAGGTTTAATGGACTTGCAGTTCTGCATGGCTGGGGAGACATCACAATCATAGTGGAAGCCAAAGGAATACCAAAGGCACATCTTACATGGCAGCAGGCAAGAGAGCATGTGCAGGAGAACTCCTTTTTATAAAACCATCAGCTCTCATGAGACTTATTCACTATCACAAGGACAGCACGGGAAAAACTCACCACCATGATTCAATTACCTCCCACCAGGTCCTTCCCACAACACATGGGGATTACTACAATTCGAAATTTTGTTGGGGACACACAGCCAAAACATATCACCTGCTGAGCACCCCCTTAGGCACTGTTGACCTGCCAGAGGGCAAGGCAGTTTCTGAGAAGGTACAACTCAAATGTATCCTGATTCCACGATCTTTTTTTTCATCTAAATGTCCCAAAGCTGTGGCTGGAAGAAAGTTGAGTCTGTTAAGCTTGATCCTAGGGGGACAGTGGCAGCAGCATGTTGCTAAGAGACAGAAATTTCCAGACTCAAAGGAAAGGGGCAGACAAGACCATTACTTGACTAGAAGAAGATAGTAACCATTTAAAGGATTCAAACTGCCAAAGAAATCCAAGTCTTGGCTTGTGTACTTCTAAGGTGAGCACCCTCACAGCATCTCCTCAGCTCAATTTGCAGCAATAAGATTTACATTATTAAAGTAGAATCGGGAAGGACGTCCGGTACCTTAGCTGCAATTCAGTGGGTGAGGTGAGCCTTCCCAGGGCAGATTCGAGCTGCATGGTCCTCAGGGCAGTGGAGATTCTTAGAATGAACAGTACCAGGAGGCTGGATTTGCTGAACAAGGTGTCCACTCTGTACCTAGGCAGGGGAACTGGCAACAACTGGTCGTCAGAGTGTGTTTTTCATATTGCTTCATGTAAGAGTGACTTTTTGCTACTGCGATCTCCCCTTTCAATACCACTACATGTTGGGTTTTGCAGGGTGAGTTTTGTGGTGATAGGAGGAACATGACAGAGCAGAAGCTGCATGAGCCAGATATTCTGGACTTGGTTTTGAATGCAGTATTGGATGAGGCTTTGGGTTTCTCTGTTTGGCAGAGAACTCAGTATGTTTTTTGTGGAGATGGGCATTTTACATGTGAAATGAAGAGAAGGAGCATGAATCTGTGAACGATGGGTCTCCCAATATGAGTTGTGGGCTGTTGTATGAATTAGGGTTGTCCTTACACTGAGCATGCCGTGAAGTCTAGGCCTTCATGCTAGGGAGTTCTGCCTCCTCGAACAGTCCCAGCCATGCAACTCTATGCAGACTGCCTCTATGAGGCCTGTGCATGGCAAGCTGGAGCCACTCTGCGTGGATGTCCCCCTGAGGTGGGGGTTATGCAGGAAAGAACATATTGATAAGATCTGGCAATAAGGGACAGCTTCTGAACACTCTGGGAAATATTTTCTGACTCTGAACAGAAAAATAAAAAACAGCTTCTCTGAAAGTGGCATTACACAGATGTGGGCTCTAATGCTGCCATCGTTATTTTCTCCCAGCCTAAGAACAGAGTCAGCAAAGAGAATCCCAACCAGAGGCACTCCTGAAGCAGAAGGGCAGCTGTGAGACTCTGCTCCTGACCTTGGGGTGCTGGCTTGTGGGAAACCATAAAGCTCATCACCCTTAGACCACTTTGATTTGGATTTCCTGTTCCTTGCAGCTGAAATTTCCTAAAAGTTCAAACTCACAAGCCTCCAGTTATTTAATATGGTGTTTACCCAGCAAGGTTTTGGCTCTCTGAAGATCATTTTGTTCATGTATTTATATTCTTCACATTGTCAAACAATATAGTAAAGACAATAAATGGCAATTGTATTTGATTACTAGATCAAATGGGTAATGTTCATTAAACAGTATAAATACATTGATAAAACAATACAACTTAGTGAAACAATATTAATAAATATTAATATTATGATGAACTCATGTGTCTATCACAGCAGGGGTCATTCATTTGTTTTTCTGTCCATGATCATCCCTCTCCTAACACTAAGGTTTAACCCAGAAACTGCTCAATGATCACATGGGTTTGGATGGATGAGCCGCACTGACATGAGAATGCTATGGATTTCACAATAGATGTGTACCCAGGTACTGCTATGATTTCAAATTATAGTGAGGCTCAGACAGGTTCCACAGATGCTTCCACATCAGACAAACCACAGAAGGTGGAATTAAAATACAAGTCATGTGATCTCAGAGCAGACCCTGCAGCTGAGTGGAAGCCATCCTGATGTCCTCATATCAACACAGACCAACTGAGGCTCTCAGAAGGGCTTGGAATAATGTCCCTTTCTTTTAAAGCTAGTTTCACTGCCCTCTTATGACTTGCTCTTGAATAAAACGTGACTACAACACTAGAGAAAAGCCTCTGAAACCTTTATAGGAAGAAAGTTTAGAAAGTACAAGTGAGGAGACTGATACGAGTAACAATAAAACTCTGGTCTTGTGCACAACCAGCTCTGTGTGAATTATTATTTCTCTATTGCAATTTTCCTGTTTCTATAAATTGGCTCTGTCTAAGCAGCAGACAAGGTGAACCCACTGGGTGGTTACAAATTTGGGGAGCTCATCCAAGATTGCCCTTGTGGCTGCCTGCCCGTGCTTTGGTAGCTTCCCTCCAGTAGTGGATTCAGAGGCCAGCCCAAGAGGCTGCTTAGTTTTCTTGGACTGGGGGCTGACTCTGGTACTGTATCTACTGATGGGGTGCTGCTCACCCTGTGCATGGATTTAATTCCAATAGAGAAATTGTTCTGGGGAGATGTCCCATAATTGTAGCCCTATCCCAGGGTGTCTGTCTGTAGCCCAGTCATGAAATGTCTGTAGCTGTAGCCCTATCATGGGATGTCTGTTTCAGTGAGTATCGTAGGCATTGCCAATGCCTCCTTCCTTCTCCTGATTGATTCTGTAGCACCATGGTGGAGTGTCTGTCTGTAGCCTCATTGCAGAGTGTCTGTCTTGGTTCAGCTCCTTCAGGGGTCTCAGTTGGCCCTCCCTAATTAGTAGGAAGAGTCTTGGTTCAGAAGACTTCTCCTCAATCAGGAAGATTTTGGGGAGATTTCTTAGGAGGACAATAGGAGGAGAGTTTGGAAGGGATACTCTGGGAATTCTTGGTTAGGGATCTTAATATGGAAAGCCTTCTGTATCAGTCCGTTTTCACACTGCTGTAAAGAACTGCCCAAAACTGGATAATTTATAAAGGAAAGAGGTTTAATTGACTCACAATTCTGCGGGGCTGGGGAGGTCTCAGGAAACTTATAATCATGGCAGGAGGGGAAACAAACATGTCTTTCTTCACATGGCAGCTGGAAGAAGAAGTGCTGAGCAAAGCAGGGAAAGCCCCTTATAAAACCATCAGATTTCATGAGAACTCTCTCACTATCAAAAGAGCATGCTGTAATTACCCCCATGATTCAATTATGTCCCACTGGGTCCCTCCCACAACATGTGGGGATTATGGGAACTATAATTCTAGGTGAGATTTGGGTGGGGACACCACTAACCAATATCACCTTCTGTCCATCTTGTCTTTGTGTGTGTGTTTCTATATGTGGAAGGGATCTCTGAAGGAATTTGTCAGGCCTCTGGGCCCAAGCTAAGCCATCATATCATCTGTGACCTGCACGTATACATACAGATGGCCTGAAGCAACTGAAGAACCACAAAAGAAGCGAAAATAGCCAGTTCCTGCCTTAACTGATGACATTCCACCATTGTGATAATTTGTTCCTGCCCCACCCTAACTGATCAATTGACCTCGTGACATTCCTTCTCCTGGACAATGAATCTCAGGAGCTCCCCACCGAGCACCTTGTGACCCCTGCCCCTGCCCACAAGAGAACAACCCACTTTAACTGTAATTTTCCACTACTTACCCAAATCCTATAAAACTGTCCCACCCCTATCTCCCTTTGCCGACTCCTTTTTTGGACTCAGCCTGCCTGCACCCAGGTGATTAAAAATCTTCATTGCTCACACAAAGTCTGTTTGGTGGTCTCTTCACATGGACTTGCATAACAGAATCATTGATGGAAGTCCAGGAGGCCTAACTCAGAGAACCTTCCTTATTTATAAGGTCACATTCAGTGATCCCTGAAAGAAGTTTCCCAGGCTTGATTCAGGATGACCACTCTTTATCTTGCCCAGAGACCACCCATTGAATTCCTGGTTGAAGGTCACCCCCTCCCAATCTTGAATGGATCAAAGACAACAGGAACCAGTGGGAAAAAGTTTGAGCCTTGCCAGGTCGATATTGGGTGTTAAATGAGGTGACTAGTGTCTTTTGTTATGTGTATTTTTGCTTCTGCTGGGATGGAAAATATTAATGTGGGTCCCTATTCAGCCCATTGGGCAGAATCTTGCAAAATTGAGAAGCTTTTGTCTATGGTTTCATAAAACAGAAGAAGATGATTTTCTTTTGAAATGTTGCTTGGCCTCCCACAATTATGGCACAGTGAACAGGGTCAACAAAAGCTGCTCCATTCTTCTAAAAGCTAGAGAGAAAGAGGATCTGGAAACCTGGTATGCTGGCAAAAAGAGTAAGAAATTCTTACCTGCCAAATTTCTGGTCTCTCTCTCTCTATGTGTGTGTTGTGTATGTGTGTGTGTGTTGTGTATGTGTGTGTGGGGTTGGGGGGGGTAAATAATAAACATCACTGTCTCCTCTGCAAGTGTTTGGTTAATAGAAAAAAAAAAACAGAATTTGTGAGACAGTCTTAGGCTATAGAAAATTTGGTGCACTTTGTGCTAAGAATTTGTCTTTCTGTAATGGAGAGAGAGGTATCACAGAATAGAATGTGGGAGTAATTCACAGTAATTTACTTCATCTCTCCCCCTGCTAGATACAGAAGAGAATTTTTTATTAGCTTTTCACCATGAGAACATGGTAGCGTTCTTAGAGGCAGGAACAATGAATCCCAGGAGAGTATGAAGGACCTCTAAGACTGTGGCCACCAGGAATTTCTCACTCTCATACTAGTTCACATTCAGCTTCCAGCAGTTTGTCAAAATTACCATCTATATACCATTCTATGAGTCTAGTGGCTCACAGGTAAGCTTATCTCAGATTTGATTCTCTATTCATCTATCTCTCTAGATTTCAAGGAGGCAGCTCACCCTATGGCCTAGAGTCTCTAATGGGTCTAAATAAAGTCATTGATTTTTACTTTATTCCACTTTTTCTTGTGAAAAGATGAGAGGGATGACTTCCAAGCTCTGTGTATGTCAAGGTGAAACCTCGTTAATAACTTTTTGCTATTTGGTTTCTCCCTCATTATTATAGGACTTGATGTTTATAATAGTGAGTTTCTTTATAGCATTTCATTTTCAATAGTCACCACTCTGTTGGTTGCTCAATGATTGCTGTCTTCAATTGAGATGAACTAAAAGTTCTAGTAGATTAGAAGTCAAATAAATGTGCCATAAGGAGAAAACAACAAAAATTAAATCTTTCTAAATAGCTTTCCTTGCAATATAAATAGTTTTTTTATAATATCTAATTCTAACATGAAACTAAAATCTAGAGTTTGCTTGTAGTTAAGCTGAATTAAATTTCCCTTATATTAATAAATATTCTTAGCATTATAACCACACTTTAACTGCTCTTAATTAAGTCCTAAAACCACTTTTAAATATATATTATATATATATATACAATTTCTCCATAAGTGATATGCCCACATAACAAAACAAGGTACAGAAAAGAAACAAATCTGAAGAAAATGATTATAATTGGTTTTCCCACAGTTTGAGTTTTTCACATTGGAGAACAAACAATGGGTAAGTGAGATAAAAATGCCACAAGAAAGCCTAACAAAATTATTCATTAAGCAATTCAAACTGTGTTATACATATATAATGTGAAGTTAAGAACGTGTTAGGATGATATCTGAGGAATACACTGATAAATGTATATGTATGTTTTACTTAGCTTCTAACTAGATGAGCCTTGTCAGATCACAATGAGTAAAGTTCTACAAAGAAAATGCCTTGCTTACAAATTCACAAAATGTACTTAGAAATCTAAGAATAATAAAATCTAGCAGAGAAGATGAAAGCTGCTTACATTAAAAGGGATACTTAGAAATTTTATTTCCGTCCTCAAATTTTGGTTTCCTCACATACAGGATTAAAAGTTACAGCTACTTGCTTTGCAAACTCCTTTACAACTCTTAAAATATTTGATTCTATAATTAAAATAAATTATAAGTGGTAAATAAACATCAATTAGAGAAAAACTGGTTTTCAATAAGATGACAAAGAAACTTTGGGAAGAATTAATTACAGTATCTTTAGAAAAGAGTTGGGCATTAACTACTAAATTCGAATGCAAACATTTCCTAAGACTCAGTAATCTACTTCTAGAGAAATGCATGCACATTTGCATCAAGAAACATGCAAACAAATGTTAATTCAAATGTTATCTGTAACATCTCAATCTTGGAACCAACTCAAATATCTAAAGACATTTATAGAATAGATAAGTACATTGTGGAATATTTATTATCCTGTGCAATAGGATAGTACTTGGTCACAAAAACAAACTGCCTTGATGTAAGATAATTTAGATGGGACTTAGAGAGATAATATTAAGTAAAATAATTCACACACAAAATAATGCATCCTGTATTATTCAAGTGAAATAAAGTTTAGAAACAAGCAAAACTGAACTACTGTGGTAAAACTCAGGATAAAAGAGGAGTGATCCAGAGGACACAACTAGGGGATGCAGACTGTAGGCTCTGGCAATGTGTTGATTATTTGGCCTTTGTTATGGTTATGTGAGTGTTCTCCTGTGATGATTTATTGATCAGTATATTTAGCATGTTTGGGGGATTTTTTTTTTACTTTATATTTTCTCTATATGGGCTTCACTTCACAATAAACAAAAAGAGTTTTGTTCATTTTTGTTTTATTTTGTGTTTCATTTTCATGGAAATGAATAAATACATAATACATAGTAAATGTAGCCTATAACAGTCACAGAATTAAGGCTTCATGGATACAGAATTGCTGGGGAAGCCTGGATCCTAGGGCCAGGAATGCTAAAATATACTATACTTAAAACTGAGAAGCTCTGAAGCTCTAGGACCTTGTAATCCTGCTTACTCACAGTGGGAGAGAAATGAGATTGGTGTCTATAAAATGGGATGTGGTTGCTGCAGGACCATTTTCTGGGGATTTTGGACCAACCTAGTTCTCCCTTTGTTTTGCTTGTAGTTTTCAAGAATAACTATAGTATGTGCTGGGAATGCAACATTCTAAAATTAGCAAGGAGCAGGCCAGAACAATCTGTGCTCTGTTCCGGCCCCTCTTCCCCCAAGTAGGATGTCCTTCAATTCTTTAGCCCAGCTCACAAGGCCCCAGAGTATACAATCCAGGGTGAGCTGTCTTTCAGAATCCCTAAGCTGCAGTGCAAATGGGGCACATAAAGAGGAGACACCATCTGCCCTGGGCAATTTTCTCAAGCTTTGGGGGACCAGCTCACAATGGATCCTAGGCTTCTGTTGGCACATGTTGCCAATCTGTACTTAATGAATCCATTTCATGTAACTTTCTGGGCTTGAGGGTTCTGTCTCACCAAACTCAGACAAGTTGGTAACCAGTGCACAGCAAATCGGCTTCACAGTTGCTCAGATGCTCATTTATAAGCTTGCATTTAAAACATGTCTGTAATAAAATGAATGTGAGATAAATAAACTAAGCCTACAAGTGGACATTAAGTAATTGACTTAGAATTTCATTCTGAAGAAGTAGAGTGTTAACTTATGGGAGCCCCTACAGGGGGATACACCTTGACACAGCTGACTTCACACAACCATTGCTGAAAGAAAGACATGTTGATTTTGCCTCAAATCAATCAATCAATAAAATATTTATAAATACCATAAAACCCCAATTTTTAAAAGAATTGTAATGCAATGTAAACAAGAGGGAGGCTCAATCCAAGCCAGCCCTTCCTCTCTCTCTCTCTCTCACTCCATAGTCAGCCTTCCAGCTGGCTGCATGGAGCTTGGTAGGTGGGATCAGGGTTTGGGTAAGGGTAAAAGGGGACATTTTTAAAGGATGCTGTTTGGCAGATGGCTCACTCCTCTAGGACTGGTGAAGCGAAGCGGCAGCAGGCATGCTCAGGGTCTACACATAGGTCTGGTCTGCAATGAGGAAGCCTCTAGGATAGACATAGAGGTTACTCTTTTTTCCCTTTTGGGCTAATGGTGAAACTTCCAGAATGCAGCATGAGGCTTTTGGTACTAACTCCTCCACCATTAAGTCCATCTGAGGATGATGACAGAGAGACAAATATATTGAGGGAGGATTATGCTCTAGGTGTAGACAAACTGGAAGACAGAAAGTTGTGTTAACGAATGTTCACATTACTTTTGAGGAGTGTGTGTGTGGGTGTGTGTTCTTGTGTGTCTGTGATGTATGTGTTTTAAGAGATTAAAAAAAGAATAATTGTATCAGAAAATATAGGCTGCCCACTTGAAGCCTTCTCATAGCAAAGAGTAATGAGGGCCTTGCAAGTCTGCCTGCCTTCTTGGTTCATTGGTTCCTATAAATACATGGATTTGGAAGAAGTATCAAAGATACACATTAAATCTTTTTTACATATCATGTATTTTTCTCAATAGATTAATAATGAACAAAACTCCTTTAGTCCTTCTGTATTTTATTTAGTTACACACAACATTAAAAACCCAATAAAAAAGAAAAGAAAAATATAACTCTTCCAAAAGTCGAATTTTTGATTGGTCCACACTTGCCCTCTGTCCCAAGATCCTTTTTTCCAGGATCTAACATAATAGGTCTAGTTTTACATTCTTTTTTAGTGCACTGTTTATATTAATATTGGCTTGTAAATGCTTGGCTGTGATAGACAGCATGTGAAGCTCCCTGTGATCTCTGAGTGGCTATGGTCTTGAATCCTGGGGATGAGCACTAATTTTCATTGTCATTACTCTATTGCACAATTACTTTTCCTTGTATTGCTAATAAGCAGCTTGTCTCTGGTTATACACTCTCACCTAGTTGGATTTTTTTTTCCACTGGAGTAAGAAAAGCTACATGAAGCAAGTAGAACAGAACAACTTGTTCCCTATGTGCTGGCCATTGGCCTGCGTGGGCATCCAGCCCTACCATGGAATATCTTTTCTGTAAGCAACAATAGAACCTCATTACAACTGGGATGCTTATGACAGGGCAAGAAGTCTCATAACTATGATTTTTTTCCTTTGTGCTACTCTTTCTACTGATCACTAGCAAACCTCCCCCCAAAATTGGGTATTGTATCTTTCCCTAAAGTTATCCACTTATCCATAATCTTCTTGAGCCAAAAGTGACTCCAGAAATCAATGTATTCAAGCAATATCATTTGATAATGTTGTTTATTCATCTAAAGTGAACTAATTATCTATCAAGATGTGAAAGTCTTATGGTATGCCCAATTCTTTTTTTCAAAGTACAATGAATTTCTTCAAAAGACTGTAACTGTAATGAGCCCTGAATTTCTACAAACAAGCTCATCCAAGAAATCTGTATACTGTCCAACACTCACCCTCCCAAAACAAAACTGGTCATCCCAGCTTCGACTCATCTATTATTTTATACAACAAATGGGAGAGATTTCCAGTTGTCCAGGCACTATGCTGTTTGTTGGGATTATAAAAATTCACCCAGTGAAAACATCCCTGTCTTCACAGTTATATTCTACTGAGCAAGGAACATATATAAACAAATAGTTACAATAGGGTATCAGAATGTTAATGATATAATTCAATACAGGGTAAAAATGAATACAGATTCAGCATCATCAGTTATTCCCTGGAACATCAGAAAAGACTTTAGAGAGTGTTAGTCACAAAACAGTCTAAATGTTCAATAAGAGTTTTTAGTTATGAAATGGGAAAGTGATCTCAGGAGAGATGTGACTAGATAATCTATGGTAGAAATTACACGATGACCTTGGGAAACTAAACTAATTGGGCATGGTCAAAATTTAAAATCTGATCTCTATTGCTATGAGAGTTGAGATAGGAGAGACAGGCAGGGGACTGGTAATGGGGACATGCTAGGAGCTTTCACTTCCTTCTCAAATCCTCCTCAACCTCACACAAATAGAGATTAGAGCCTTATGTCCCTAAGCTGCTTAAGTCTTCAGCTTTTAAGACTCCATAGTATACTATTCAAATTTCATAATCATACATTACAATGTGTTTTCAAGGACTATTATTTTATTTGTCTGAAACATTCTCTCATGGCTCATTATTTCACAACTGATCTTCGTGCATAAAACACTGTTTATGTGTAGCACATTCTATGAAACATAAAACCAATGTTTCCAAAGGCACTGTTTTATCATGGCTCATCTAGATTCCAAAGTCCACAATAACCCGGATGATCCATGTGGTCATATCATGCTCTTCACAAGTACATGCCTCTGCTTTATAACACTTGCAACAATATTGACTCAACTGTCCCAATTCCAATTCTTTCTGGGAGTGAGGGATTATGCTTCTCCTTGCTCTCAAACTCCATTCTAAGTCCTGAGTTTGTTCATTCTAAGTCTAAAAAAAAAAAATACATAAAAGAGAAACAACCCTCTTTATAACTTCAAAATACCTCAAGGTCACCAAAAATCTTACCTCTAGTATGAAGGACTTGACAATAATATATAATGACTACTTAAACCACAGGACTCCTAAATTCCATCAGATTAGAGGCTGTTACCTTAACATTTGGTGCTCAATGAGCATTTACTGAATAAGGTGAATAACTGATTAATCTCCTACCTTGTTCCATGAGGGCAGGGATCATACCTGATTTATTCCTGGCACTATGTCTGGCACAAAACAAATGGTTAATAAATGATTGTCAAATGAACTTCCCCTTTTCTTATGACACAAAACACAACCTTATGTTCTTGGTACATGATATACATTATGTTCTTCGTACATGATTATCACCACAGGACTACGTTATTTTTGCTGTCTCCTAGTGCCTTTATTTTATGAATACATGTCTTCTTCCTCTAACAGAAGGCAAACTTGTCATTATTTTCTTCTGCTTATTCAATGCAGCAAACATTCACTGAGCCTACCAGTTCTGTTATGCATTTAAAGGATACAACAATAAATAAGATGTAGTGACTCAAGGAACAAACTCATGAAACTAACATGTTAACACCTGATGAACACATTGTGTCCCAGAAAAGTTGATAGGAAAAGATGTTTAATTCTAATGAAGAGAAAATGGAAGACTCTGGAGAAAGGGTCTCTTGATTTGGCCATGTGGATGCAAGAACATCTATGAACAAAAGGGGGCAGCAAAGTTTGGGAACGTCTAAAAAAATGAGTGTAACTAAGATGTAGAATACATGAAAAAGAATAATGAGGGGAGAGGTGGAGCAAGGTGGCAGAATAGAATGCTCCACTTATCATCTCCCCAACAAGGACACCTATTTAACAACTATCTACACACAAAAAAACACCTTCATAAGAACCAACAATCAGGTGAGCACTCACAGTATCTGGTTTTAACTTCATATCACTGAAAGAGGCACTGAAGAGGTAGGAAAAACAGTCTTGAATCATCTATGCCTCCCCTCCCTCATCCTTTGGCAGTGGCTTTGCAGCATGGAGAGAGAATATGTCCACTTGGGAGAGGGAGAGTGCAGCAAGTGTGAGACATTGCATTTAATTCAGTGCTGCTCTGTTATAGCAGAAAGCAAAATTGGACCAAACTCAGCTGATGCCCACCTACAGAGAAAGCCTTTCAACCAGCCCTAGCCAGAGGGGAATCACCCATCCTGTCAGTCAGAACTTGAGTTCCTGCAAGCATAGCCACCTTGGGCTGGAGTGCTCTGGGGCACTAAGTAAACTTGAAAGGCATCTAGGCCACAAGGTCTGCAACTCCTAGGCAAGTTCTAGTGCTGAACTCAGTTCAGAGCTAGTGGACTGGGGCGGGGAGGGGTACATGATGTACTGAGACACCAGTCAGGGCAGCTAAGGGAGTGCTGGTTCCACCCCTCCTCTATCCTGAGGCTGCAGAGCTCGTTGCTCCAATATAGACCCCTTCCTTCTGCTTAAAGAGAGGAAATGGAAGAATGGGGAGGAATTTGTCTTGCATCTGGGATATCAGCTCAGCCACAGCAGGATAGGACACTGGTCAGAGTCATGAGGCCCCCTTTTCAGGCCTTAGCTCCTGACCAACATTTTTAGCCACATTCTGGGACAAAAGGGAAACCACCCCCTTGAAGAGAAGAACCCAGTCCTGGCAAGATTCATCAGTGGCTAACTGAAGAGCCCCTGCACCCTAAATAACCAGCTGATACCTATGTAGCATGTCATGAGCTTTGGATGAGATCCTGAAACTTGTTGGCTTCAGGTGAGACTCAGAACCTTCCCAGCTATGGTGACTATGGGGAGAGATTGTTTCTCCTTGAGAAAAATGGAGGAACAAGTAAAGGAGACTTTGTCTTGCACATTAGGTACCATCTCTGCCACAGCGGGGTAGAATGTCAAACAGGCTCTTTGGGTACCTGAGCCAAGGTATCGAGACCTTGGCTCTTAGATGGTATTTCTAGACCTGCTCTAAGCCAAAGAGGAGTCCACTGCCCTGAACGGTGAGTCCCACATCAGTCAGCATTCACCATAATCTGACTGCAAAGCCCTTGAGTCTTAAGGAAACATTAACAGTAGCCTGGCAGTACTCTCTATGGGCCTGTGGTGCAACAGCCATGGGGTGAGGCTCCTCTGCCTTTGGAAATGGGAGGGAAGAGTTGGAAGGACTACATCTTGTGGTTTGAGTGCCAGCACAGCTCCAGTACAATAGAACACAAGGTAAACTTTTAAGTTTTTTAACTCTCATCCCTGGCTCCTGGACAGCATATCTGGACCTGGCCAGGGAACTCACTACCCTGAAGGAAAGGACACAGGCCTGGCTGGCTTTGCCACTTGTTGGTGGTAGAGCCTCAGGGCCTTGAGAGAACATAGATGGTAGCCAAAGAATGGTTCCAGCAAGCCTTGAGTGAGACCCAGTCCTGTGTTAGCTTCATGTATGACCCAACACAGTCCTAGTGCTGGTGGCCACAGGGGTGTTTATGTCACTACACCCCTAGCTCCAGGCAGCTCAGAACAGAGAGAGACTCCATTTGTGTAGTAGAAAGTAACAGAAGAGAACAAGAGACTCTGCCTGGTAATCCAGAGATTCCTTCTAGATCTTGTCCAAGACCTTCAAGGTGATACCTCTATGAGTCGGCAAGAACCACAGCACTACTGGACTTTGGGTGCCCCCTAATGCAGATACAGCATAGATCACAACACTTAAGTATTTTGGAACACCTGGAAAGACTTCCCAAGAAGGATGAGTACAAACAACCCTAGACTGTGAAGACTACAGTAAATACCTAACTCTTCAATGCGCAGACACCAACAAACATCCACAAGCATCAAGTCCATTCAACATAATATGACCTCACTAAATGAGTCAAATAAGACACCAGGGACCAATCCTAGAGAAACAAAGATATGTGACCTTTCAGACATAATTCAAAATAGCTATTTTGAGGAAACTCAAAGAAATTCAAGAAAACACAGAGAAGGAATTCAGAATTCTATCAGAGAAATTTAACAATGAAATTGAAATAATTTAAAAGAATTAAGCAGTTCTGGAACTGAAAAATGCAATTGGCATATTGAAGAATGCATCAGAGTCTTGAGAGCAGAATTGATTAAGCAGAAGAAACAATTTGTGAGCTTGAAGACTGGCTATTTGAAAATACATAGAGAAGACAAAAGAAAAAACAGTAAAAAACAATGAAGCACACCTACAGGATCTAGTAAATAGCCTCAAAAGGGCAAATCTAAGAGTTAATTGGAATTAAAGAGAAAGATAGGAGCAGAAAGTTTATTCAAAGGGATAACAACAAAGAACTTTCCAAACATAGAGAAAGATCTCAATATTCAAGTAGAAGAAGGTTATAGAATACCCAGCAGATTTAACCCACAGATGACTACCCTCAAGGCATGTAATAATCAAAATCCCAAAGGTCAAGGATAAAGAAAGGATCCCAAAACAGCAAGAAAAAAGAAACAAATTAATATACAATAGATCTCCAGTATGTCTGGTAGCAGACCCAAAAGATATTGGCATGACATATTTGAAGTGCTGAAGGAAAAAATATTTTACCCTAGAATAGTATACCCAGCAAAAATATCCTTCAAATATGAAGGGAAAATAAAGACTTTCCCAGACAAATAAAAGCTGAGGGATTTCATTAACATCAGACCTGTAGTACAAGAAATGCTAAAGTGAGTATGTCAATCAGAGAGAAAAGGACTTTGATGAGCAATGAGAAATCATCTGAAGGTACAAAACTCATCATTAATAGTAGGTGACCAAAAACCAGAATATTATAACACTGTAACTGTGGTGTGTAAACTACTCTTAGGTAGAAAGACTAAACAATTAACTAATCAAAAATAATAATTCCAACAATGTTTCAAGACATAGACAGTACACTAAGATATAAATAGAAGTAGCAAAAAGTTAAAACTTGGGGGGAAAAGGTAAAGTGTAGAGTCTTTATTAGGTTTTTTTCTTACCTGTTTATTTATGCAAACCATGTTTTTATCAGCTTAAAATAATGGGTTACAAGATGGTATTTGCAAGCTTCATGGTAACCTCAAACCAGAAAACGTTTAACAAATACAACAAAAAATAAGAAGCAAGAAATTAAATCATATAACCAGAGGAAATAACCTTCACTAAAAGGAAGACAGGAAGGAAGGAAGGAAGGAAGGAAGGAAGGAAGGAAGGGAGGGAGGGAGGGAGGGAGGGAGGGAAGGAAGAAGGAAGACACAGCCGCAAAACAACCAGAAAACAAATAACAAAATGGCAGGAGTAAGTCCTTACTTATCAGTAACAACACTGAATATAAATGGACTAAACTCTTTAATCAAGAGTTTAATCAGAATTTAATCAAAAGATCTTAACATATCTCACTGTTTCAATTTAAGTGTTTAATAACCATCTCAAAATAAACTCTTTCAAAATTGAGTTTCTTGATTTTCCCCATAGGATTTCTATTCAACTAATTGTTTTGATGTCAGTGAGAAAGCATCACTGTTGTCCACTGTGTTAAAAACAAAAACTAGAAAATATCCTTTATTTCTCTCAATATCATATCCCATATCCAGTTGCCATCAAGTCCATTTGGCTCTATCTATCCATAAGTTGATCATTTTGTATAGTCTCCACGTAGACAAATTATCAAATTATCTACCATTACAAATCTCTTTGCTTTCCACTATTTTTCATATAGTCTATTCTTAGTCTTTGCAAAGCAGCCAGTATGATGTTTTTAAAACAAAACTCAAGGCAGAGCCAGGCCAGGTAGCTCACGCCTGAAATCCCAGCACTTTGGGAGGTCTAGACAGGCAGATCACCTGGAGTCAGGAGTTCAAAATCAGCCTGGCCAACATGGTGAAGCCCCGTCTCTACCAAAAATACAAAAATTAGCTGGGAATAGTGACATGTGCCTGTAATCCTAGCTACTTGGGAGGCTGAGGCAGGAGAATCACTTGAACACAGGAGGCAGAGGTTGCAGTGAGCCAAGACTGTGCCATTGCACTCCAGCCTGGGCAATAGAGTATTTGCAAGTTTCATGGTAACCTCAAACCAGAAAACATACAACACGCACACACACACACAAACTCAAGGCATATCACTTCTCTTTTTAAATCTCTTAGACTCTCCTGCACACAGGAAGGAATCTAAGGTTTCCCTATGGGCACCAGACTCCATGTAATCTAGTCTTTGGCCACCTCTGATCTCATCTGCTAAAATCATTTCAATCTCTCCTTACTCAGTCCATCCCAAGCCATCCCTGGAAGGTTTCATCCCAACTGGTTCTCACATCCAGTCTTTGCACTTCAGCTGTCTGTCCCTTGAATGCTTCCACAAAACATAGCAGGGGAACTATTATTTAGGCCTCTGTTCAAGTATCACCTCCTTCAAGTGGTCTTTCCTGAGTGTCCACTCTAAGGAGCCTCCCTTCTGTCACCATTTAGCTGTATTTCCCTTTACTTACAGCAAAATTGTAACTAGATAATGCATTACATGTTTTTCTGTTGCATGTATATTCTGTTTCTTTCTCATAAATGTAAACCCTCCTATGGCCCAAATCTTCATTTGCCTTTTTAACTCCTTTATCTCCAGCATGTGGAGCACACTTGGTACACATTAGGAGCTGAAATGCTCCATAGCTGCTGAATCAGTAGCACCAACATGTGTACCCACCACCTTCTCAAGTGTGGCTTTATAAGATGTTCATCATGGTTGAGTGAGGATAAGGGAAAGAATAGTCTGTTTCTTTTATGATATGGTTTGGCTGTGTCCCCATGCAAATCTCATCTTGAATTCCTATGTGTTGTGGGAAGGACCCTGTGGGAGGTCATTGAATCACGGGGGCAGGCCTTTCCCATGCTGTTCTGGTGATAGTGAATAAGTCTCACAAGATCTGATAGTTTTAAAAGGAGGAGTTCCCCTGTACAAGCTCTCTCTCTTTGCCTGCTGCCATCCATGTAAGACGTTACTTGCTCCTCCTTGCCTTCCACCATGCTTGTGAGATCTTCCCAGCCAAGTGGAATTGTAAGTCCATTACACCTCTTTTTCTTCCCAGTCTTGAGTATGTCTTTATCAGCAGCCTGAAAATGGACTAACACATTTTATGATTGGTGCAAATTGGCTACTGATAAAAATCCTGATGATAGGAAAATTTCAAATTTCCTTATAGTAAAAATACTACTTAATTTAATTTTTAGAGACAAGGAAAAACATTTTGCAGAGTTTGGCTCCACTATTGAAAAAGGGATGCTTTAGGTTGAACCATTGTAGCCTCAGATTCTATCTTTTCCTAAATAAACACATTAAAGCCTCATGTGTGAAATTATTTTTTAAAAATATTTATCTGGATTTAAAGAATAACAGATCAACAGATACCTCTCAATGTGTTTGCTAATTAATAAAAATCAGTTTCTTACAACTAATGTTTGTAAGAAAATGTTCATTTTAAGTGCTAAATAGTGAAGAAAATTTATCACCTAAAATACACCCATCAATATAAGGCAAGAAAAAATCTTAACATGCAGCCATTCGCTTTTGCCATGCCCTGTCCTGTTTACTTCTTAAGAGGTTTATTTTTGTACTTTTGCAGAATAAACTTTAGTAATCTAGAACTGGAAGGTACTATATATGTATGTGTGTGTATATATATATATAAAAGAAAAACATATATATATTTCAATTACTTGAAATGTAAAAACTTACCGAATACAAATGGAAAAAGTGATGTGTATTATATCATATTGCTTTTTGTCCATCTTTGTGATTTATTTACTCACTTCATGTTTTTCATTTACAAAATTGTCAAGTTAGCCAAAATAATTCTTGTTTTCTTAATTGGGAGAGAAGAGACCTGACAGATTATCTATACTCTTCATATGTTAAAAGACCATTTCCTGTAAAACTGACCTAGTGCACAAACTGAATTTGAAATAGACTGTGAAGTAAACTATAACTTGTCCTTTTAATTTTGTTTAACATGGTTACTGACTTACATGATGTACTGAATATCAAGATAAAGAAAAATGTGTCTAAAAGCTAATTAGAATTCTCTGGGTCACCAAGTCAAGGTGCTATTGATCTGGGTTAATCTGAGTAACTTATTGTCTAGCCTATAAATAAGTTCCAAAATATCGAATTCAAAAAAAAAAAAAAAAAAAAAAAAGAAGATCTCCCAATCACCACTATTGGGTCCTGGAAGAAATCTTCTGTTATAAGGTTTTGAGAGGTCTTAAAAACAACTTATAAATAGTATGTGATTATAGATGTACAAATATAGACGTGCGTGATAAATCTAGGTCCATGAAAACAAGTGAGGGCCGGGCGTGATGGCTCATGCCTGTAATCCCAGCACTTTGGGAGGCTGAGGGGGGCGGATTACCTGAGGTCAGTTCAAGACCAGCCTGGCCAACGTGGTGAAACCTCATCTCTACTAAAAATCCACAAAATTAGTGGGTGTGGTGGCACATGCCTGTAGTCCCAGCTACTCAGGAAACTGAGAAAGGAGAATCACTTGAACCTGGAAGGTGGAGGTTGCAGTGAGCCAAGATCACGCCACTGTACTCCAGCCTGGGCGACAGAGTAAGACTCCATCTCTAGGGGGGAAAAAAAGGCAAGATTCTGGGTCAGATTACCAGATACCAATTTTTAATCATTAGTTGTTTTACTTGAGAGGATTTTTAGAAAAACAACTTAGCCTTACATTCCTGGTATGTCAAGGAAAAAAGCAAACAAAATACATAAAATAAAAATAAATTATGAATAAATGAATGTAGAAGGGAATGAGTTTTGAAAAAATTTGCGCTGTGGATTTGCAACATCCCCCCATTGCCTTTAACTTTTTATCCACATTTTGTCTGAGACGCACACTGAAAAACATCAATATTGAAAGATTCTAGCAGAGATTCTATAAGCTTCATATTGCTATATCCGCTCCTGTTAAGCCCACCATTTTGAACTAAGCATGACCATAATATTAGCATGTAATATTATAGAATATATGCGTGACATTTCCATTCTGAAGCAGTTTCACTTGTTCTGCCAAATTACTTATAAGAATCCTAATGATAAGCAGAAATGATAGCAAAAGGAATTTAAAGCAGTAGGATTATCTATCATAATGTTTTGTATAGACAGAGATTTTCAGTGCAATTGAGTAAATTAGTAGAAATGCAATTACCATGTCATATTTAACTCTGTGCTTTAGTTTTGTAAGAAACTACCAAACTCTCTACCAAAGTGGTTGCACCATTTCACATTTCATCTGCCAACGGATGAGAGTTTCTGTTGCTCCTTGTTAATTTAGTTTACACTGAAATTACCCAGCCTTTTAATTACTCACTATTTGTATAAGATTCGTTCTAAATAAACCTTAATTCTTTTCTGAAATATTAGAAAGGCTAATTTGTGTGACTTGCAGAGATATCCAGAAATACACATTTAAAGAATGCAAGTCCCTTTGCTCAGATGCCAAACTCAGCACCCTGACTTTCTATTGGCAGCTTGGTACTTCCATAGACAAACACACTCAGAAAGGTGCTTTCTACAAAGAAAGAGCATTGGTTCCCACAGCAAGAAGGTTGCTCCTTAACCATGAATTGGCATGTAGATGTGTGAATCAGATCCTGTAAACTTTGTTACTGTGAGTCACTCACCCAGAGCTGGTTAGTTGTAAATCAACTTCAACTTTGATTTCCTGAACTTCAACACCTGAAGTCCAGAGTCAAGACAGATGGTCATTTTCCAGCATGGGGAGTGAGCTGGACCAAATATTTCTGTTTTACCAATTGTCACAGATAAAGCCTGTGTTATGATTCTCATACGTGATATAAGAGCAGGTATTTAGAATAATTTGGAATATGTATAATCAACTGACCTTGGAAAGGAAATACAGTATGTTTAAAACATAAACTTTGAAGTTGGAACTAAATTTAAATTTTGGGTCCTTCATTTATTGGCTGTATAACCTTGGCAAAGCTCATAACTTCTACAGTCCTTGGTTTTCTCGTAAAAAGGATGTGTGTGTATATATATTCACACATATATACACACACGTATCTCATTAGGATGTTGCAGGAATAAAGTGAAAAATTACTTGGTAAATTATAAAGCACTGTGTATAAGGCACCGTGTGGATATTGGTCACTATTCAGTAGTAGTTAAACTGAGAATTACAAGATTGTGGAACAATTTCATTATACCTGGAATTCCATAGATATCCTAGGAGCCTCAAAACAGGCTGGCCTGATTTTGAAGAATTGTAAAAGAGAAGTCAGTTTCTCTTTAAGGCAATTTCACCCAATGCACATGCACATAACTGGAAAAAATAAAATGACAAATAAGTATACAGGATTCCACCATAAGCATATGTCTCATTGGTATGAAGTTATGTTGACTAATCTTAAATTATTTTTATTGGCTATTTGGTTTTAATTATGTTATGTTATATTCACTGGATAATATATATGTTAATATATTATATATCTTAATTAGGTTATGTTATATTCACTGGATAATAGGTTCTATTAAGTCAAGGTCCCAACCTAATAAATTCTCTTTCTGTCACATTTTAAGTTATTTCATTAGTGTACTCAAAGAGAAATTATCAAGTACATTTACTATTTTTGATAATAAATACAATAATAATAAACAAATATTAGCTTACCCTCGTTTGATTATTTTCACAAGGTAGGCACTGTGCGGGGGCACTTCCTAAATATTTCTCCATTTTAGTTTCATATCCAACTGCAATGCAGTTTTTACTTCAAGATTGCAGATGAGGAAAAGGAGTATCTGAAAGCGTAGAGGAGTCTCTATGGCAATATACAAATGCCAGTTTAGTATGTTTTTACCTCTCTTCAGAGAAAAAAATGGTCGTTTAGTTAGTCATGTTTACCTTTGAAAACTATGTTCTCAATAACCCAGCATCAGAAGCTTTACAAGGAGGTAGTACCAGGAAAGAGCATGCTTGACTTAGCTCTGTGGTTAACAGTAGACGTTGAACTATCCAAGGCTGTGAAATAAGCAGTTACGTGACACACAGTTCCTTGAATTGTAACTTAATACCCAGCTTTCTCATGTCCTTAGGCAAATATTAAAAATTCAATTGCTCACAGCTCTCAGTAATGCATTTCTCCACAGGCGGAAAGGAGATGAAAGAAGAGGGAAAGCTGGCCTTTGTAGTGAAAGCAGGTTCAAATTTGTTCAAATTAGCCAGCCAGCCAATCATCAAAGAGAGTTTTAGTCCATGGAGTTGCAGTACCACTAGCAGCCTTCTGAAGGGAATGAAAACCCGTAATAGCGTTTCCGGTCTGCCCTTATCTTATATACTTGCATTAAGGTATTATTTGTGAAAATGAGAGATGGAATAAAATTCATAAACAAATAGAAAACTCACCGCAAGTAGGATACCTTTTAAAGTTATCCAGTATTCTTCCTGAGTCTGCCAGTCTCCAGGGCCTCAGCCTGTGGACTTTTGCATGGCTGTGGTTGCTAGGGCAATATGCATGATTCCCACCAGAGTGCAAATCAGGCGAGAGCCTTCCAGCCTTGGTTTTTTCAAAGAATACATTTCATATCAATATAAGGACTAAAGATACAATTACTGCAGGGAAATCATTGCCTTAAAGAGATGTCAGAGACCAACTAAAAAATTTTGTTGCAGAGACAGAAGGAAATTATTGGAATCATCTACTTAGCAACAATTATTAAAAGGAAGATGAGGTATAACAGAGCTATCTAAGAAGAACAAAATATAAAATAGGCTAGTAAAGATAAGACAGGAATTTAAGAAAATTCAGATGGAGATATCAGACAGAGGGAAAACTCTCCATACTCTGGTAGAGCACACTGGTGCCGTAGTGGTCTTGGTGAAGTAGTTTCATCAGCCAGTATGCAGATCCTAAAAGAAAGCTGCAGGTGCTTAAGTCACCTCTGTCCCTGACAGGGTGATTCAGCAAAGGATAGTCATGCATGCTTTTCTTCAGTTTCCTCACTTGCAAAATAAGACAAAATATGACTTGTCTCATAGGTAAATGATGAGGAGTATAAATACTTTTTTAAAAAAAAATAGATGCTTCAAGTGCTTAGCCCCGTGTCTGGTCGATCATAAATTCACAACGACAAATCTTAGCTACCATTGTCAATACAGAAGAGACCTCTCCAACAATGCAAAAGTCAAAAGCATGAAATTGATGAGAATGATGTAGAAAATAAAAATGCAATCTAAAGATAATTGGAATCTCTGTGGGAGAAAAAAAAAACAGAGCCAAAGGAGCCCAAAAATGTATTTACATCATAGACAAAAGAGAAGAACATCTTTCCAGAGCAAAATAAAAATGACTCTTTCAGTACAAACTATACCATATTGCAACTATATTAGGAAAGTAATTCCTAGCTAAGCATTTTGTGCATTTTTAAGAACATTTTTGAAGAATAGAAGAGTTGGGTTATGGATTGCAAGAGTACATTACTTATACAAACCTATTATCAGACTGGGTGCAGTGACTCATGCCTGTAATCCCAGTGCTTTGGGAGGCTGAAGTGAGAGGATCACTTGAGGCCAGGAGCTCAATACCAGCCTAGGCAACATAGTGAAACCTTGTCTCTACCAAAAAAAAAAAAAAAAAACATTAAATTAGGTGGCATGGTGGTATGTGCCTGTAGTCCAGCTACTTGGGAGGCTGAAGCAGGAGGATTGCTTGAGCTCAGGAATTCAAGGTTGCAGTGAACTATGATTGCACCACTGCACTTCAGCCTGGATGATAGGGCAAGTCCCCTTCTCTAAAAAACAAACCAACAAACAAAAACCAGATCTGTTATCAGATATATGATTTAGAAATATTTTATTCCATTCTGTCTTTTTACTTTTTTGATGGTATCCTTTGAAACAAAAAGTTTTAAATTTTGCTGAAGTCCAGTTTTTCACGTTTAGTATTTTATCTAAGAAATCATTGCCTAAGTTTATGAGAACTTAATCCTTTCTCCTAAGAAATTTTATACTTTTAGCTCTTACATTTCCATCTGTGGTCATTTACAGTGTATTTCTGTGTATGCTATGAGGTAGGGATTCAGCTTCATTCTTTCACATATGGATATCCAGTTGGCCACAGCACCATTTGTTGAAAAAAGTAGTTTTTTCCTATTGAATTATCTTGGCACTCTTGTTGAAAATTATTTGACCTTTTTGCAAGGATTTATTTCTGAGGTCTGAATTCTGTTCATTGATCTATATGCTTATCCTCATGCCAGTATCACACTATTTTGATGACTGTAGCTTTGTAGTAAGTTTTGAAATCAGGAAGTGAATCCTCCAGTTTTGTTCTCTTGTAAAATTGCTTTGGCTAGACAGGATCCCTTGCAATTCTATATGAATTTTAGATGAGCTGGTTGATTTATTCAAAAAAGCAGCTGGGATTTTGATAAGGATTGTGTTGGTTCTGTAGGGCAACATAGGGAGTATTGTCATCTTCACATTATTGAATCATCTGATCCATGAATATCAGATTTTTTTACATTTATTTAGGTCTTCTTTATTTCAACAATGTCATGTAGTTTCCATGGTACAAGGCTTGTACTTCTTTCATTAAATATATATTTTAATAAATATGTTCCTATATTCTTTCATTAAACATTCCTAAATATTTTCTTATATTGATATTGGTATTATTATAAACAAAACTGTTTTTTAATTAAACATGGTTTTTAAATTTAAATTTTGAATTGGGCATTGATTATTATACAGAAATGCAATAAATATGTGTATGTTGACTTGCATCTTGGAAGCTTTCTGAACTCATTTATTGGTTCCAAAAGATTTTAAAATATGCTCCTAAGGATTTTTTATATATCAGATTATATACTATGCAAATGGAGATCACTTTACTTCTTCCTTTCTATTCTCTATGCTATTTATTAATTTATCTCTGCCTAACTGCTCTGTTAGAATTTCTAATACAATGTTGATGGTTATAAAAAATTAGAAAATAACAAGTGTTGACGAGAAAGTGAAATTGGAACCCTTGTGTATTGATGTGAACGTGTAAAATGTTCAGCTCTTGTGGAAAAGTTTAGTGGTTTCTCAAAATGTTAAATGAAATTACAATATAACCCCACAATTCCACTCTTATACACAAACCACCCAAAACTGAAAACTTGTACTCAAAGAAAACCAGGTACACAAATGTATATAGAAACATTTTTCATGTGGTGAAAACAGCCCAAATGTCCATCCAAAGATGAATGCATAAACACATATAGTAGAATGTTATTATCCAACCATCAAAAGGAATTAAGTAGTGATAAAGGATACAACATGGATGAATCTCAAAAGCATTTTTCTTAGCAATGGAAATAGCCAGACACAAAAGATCACATATTGTATGATTCCATTTTTATCATATATCCAGAATACATATGTCTATAGAGTCAGAACTCAGATTAATGGTTGCCAGTGACTTGGAGGAAGAGAGAAAAAAAAAAAACTGCTTACAGTGTGGTGGGTTTTAGTTTGGAGTGTTGGAAATGTTTTAAAGCTAGACAAATGTGATATTTGTATGACATTGAAGATATATTCAGTGCGATTAATTGTTCACTTTAAAATGGTTATTTTTATGTTATGTGAATTTCACTTCAAGAATTGTTTTTAAATTTAGAAGCATCCAGATTCTAATAAGTATATTTTGAGCCACATCTAACACCTTATCATGAAAATTAATTCAAGATGGATTATAAAAATTTAATTAGAAATGTTGATCCTAGTCTGTGACATTGGGTTAAACAAAGAGTAGCAAGATATACTAGGTAATGTAACAGATATAATACATAAAGCATGAGCAGTAAAAGAAAAACAATGTTAAGTTATACTTCATCAAAGTATAAAACCTTTGCTCTGTGAAAAATACTGTTTAAAAGATGAAAAGACAAGCCACAGACTGGAAGAACACATTTGCAAATCACGTATCTAATAATGAATTTGTATACAGAATATATAAAAAACTATTAAAACTCAAAACTTTTTAAAAAATGACCCAAATTTTATTAAAAATGGACAAGATTTGAACAGACACTTTGCCAAAGAAGGTATATGAATGACCAGTAGACACAAGGAAGATAGTTACTATCCTTAGCCATAAGGAACATGTAAATTAAAACCACAATGAGATACCACTTTATCTATAAGAATGGCTTAAAAAAACCTGACAACATCAAGTGCTGATGAGGATGCAGAACATGGGAAGCATTAATATATTGCTGGTGTACACAAAATGATCCAGTCACTTAGGAAAACTCTCAGGCAAAGAAATGCAGGGGCTGCAGCCAAAATCAAGCCACTTCCAAGAAGTAGTCAGAGCAAGAGAATACAGATGGGGCCTCATGGTGCCTGCTACAACACCCCTGTAGCTGTATATAAGTTCTGAATTCACCGAGGTCTCTGCTGGGTTCTGGTAAGTTGGTTGGTCCAACTATAGAATCACATAGTCTTACATTTCCCATAATGGTTTTCCTCAACCCTGACTAAGAAGCAAAAAAAGGCAGAGGAAGAATGGATGTTTTCCACCTGTGCCAGATACAAGCGACCCCAAAGCCTGCACACCAAAGCCCTGTGTGTTTCAGGTGAGCCTGCTCCATCCCAGAGAAGAGCACCCAGGGATGCTGAGAGCAGATGTCACTGGCTCCATGGGGAATGTCACCCATCAGATACAAAAAAAAAAAAAAGTGCTTCCAGTTTGAGGTCCCTGAGTGAGCATATAGTGAAGAAGAATGAGTACAAGGAGGGTGAAGGGAAGAGGTGAAGGATAAGGGGGAAGAAGGGAAGGGGGAGTGAGAGCTGAAAAAAGGGATGGGGTAAGCAAGTGGGGAAGGGAGAGGAAGGGAAAGCAAGAGAAGGAAGGGAGGGATGGGGAAGATGAAAGGAGGGAAGGAGAGGAGGGGGAAGGGAGACAAGGAAAACAGGAAGAGGAGAGGGAAGGGGAAGGGAGGGGGAGAAGGGAGCGTGGAGTGAAGGAAGGGAGAGGGAAGAGGATGGAGGGGCAGCAAGGGGAAGGGAAAAAACAAAAGCCCTGTTTTCTGCCAGTGTCTGATCTGGGTCACAAGGTCCTCACCAGGGCAGCCCTGCTGTTCACTCATAGAAATAGGCCTAGGAATGCAGCTTTTCATGTAGATTAAGATCCCCTGGGAACTGTCTCCATATTTGCCTCTCCTTAGGCTCCCTGTGCCCAGTGCTATTTATATTTCTAGGAGATTTAAATATGGGTCACATGATTATGAGTCCTGAAATTCTGAGGCTGGGCCCCACTTTTTTCATCTCTTTCTTCAAAGAACTGAGTCTAATTAATTTTTTTACATCAGTTTTATCAGCTGTAGTTTTCACAGAATAAAATGCACTTATTTAAAATGTTCAGCTTGATGAGTTTTGACAAATGTATGTACTCATATAAGCACTGCCTCAGTCAAGGTACAGAACAGTCCCATCATCCCTAAACATTTCTCAAGCCCTTTACGGTCCATGTCTGCCCCAACCCAAGCTCCAGAAACCAAACTCGGCTTTCTGTTAAAATTGATAAGGTTTGAGAGGAAACTGATCAATTTTCTGGAATTTCATGTAAATGGAATTACACAGTAAAAGAAAGAAAGCAAAATAAAGAAACCCTTAATGGTTGCCATAGGGTTTACAATATAAAATACACATTAACTTACCAGAGTATCCTCCCTATTTCTATAAACTTAATCCAGTGTGTTATAGAAACTTCACCCTACATAGCTCCAATCACCACACTCATTTTGTTATACAGTTGTTGTATGTTATAAAACCAACAATACATCATAATTTTTACTTTATGTAATTCTGTGCTGCTTAAAGGAGTTGAGAGATAAACAGAGTGGAAATGTATATCTAGGGAGATTTATATGTTAACCTCTTCACCTATCATTGAAGGCTCTTTCATCTCTTCCTGTGAAACTGACTTAGCATTTGGTATAATTTCTTTTTTCTAATATAGCTTTGTTCTCCCCACCTTCTGTGTGATAATATTTGAAATATATTATATTCATATAGATTTTGGGCCCAATAATATAATTATATACTAAGATCTTATGCAATGACTTTTAAATCAGTTAAGGCAAAAAAGTAGAAAAATATCCAATTATACTGTCTTTTATGCTTACCTATATAATTACCTTTTCTGGTGATTGTTGTTTATTCATTTTTCTATAGTCACCCTGAAGTACATTAGATCTCCAGAATGTATTTATCCTGCATAACTGAACCCTTTGACCAATATCTCCTCATTTTCCCCATCCCCCGGCCCCAGGAAATGATCGTTTTATTCTCTGCTTTTATGAGTTTGACTATTTTAGATTTCACAAATAAGTGAGATCATGCAGTAATTGTCTTTCTGTGACTGGCTTATTTCATTCAACATAATGTCTTTCAAATTCATCCGTGTTGTCACAAATGGCAGCGTTTCGGTTTTCTGTTCATTTGTTTGTTTGTTTGTTTGTTTGTTTGAGACGGAGTTTCACTCTTGTTGCCCAGGCTGGAGTGCAATGGCATGATCTCGGCTCACTGCAACCTCTGCCTCCCGGGTTCAAGTGATTCTCCTGCCTCAGCCTCCCAAGTAGCTGGGATTACAGGTTCCCACCACCACGCCCAGCTAATTTTTTGTACTTTTAGTAGAGAAGGGGTTTCACCATGTTGGCCAGGCTGGTCGCAAACTCCTAACCTCAGGTGATCCACCCCCGTCGGCCACCCAAAGTGCTGGGATTACAGGCGTGAGCCACAGCGCCCAGTCAAGTTTCCTTTTTTAAGGAAAAAATAATATTCTATTTTCTCTCTATATCACACTTTCTTTATCAGTCCACTCACACTAGTGTTGTTTTTGTATCATGGCTATAGTGAATAATGCTGCAGTGAATGTGGCAGTGCAGACATCTTTCCAACATACCGATTTCATTTCCTTTGGATATATACCCAGAAGGGAGATTGCTGGATCACATAGAAGTTTATTTATAATTTCTGGAGAAACTTTCATCATGATTTCCATTATAGTCACACCAATTTACATTCTCACCAACAGTGTACAAAAGAGGATAGCCTCTTCTCCACATCCTCACCAACACTTGTCAATGTTGTCTTTTTGACAATAGCTATTCTAAAAGGCATGAGGTGATACCTCATTATGGTTTTGATTTGTATTTCAATGATGAGGAGTGATGTTGAGCAGGTTTTTATATACCTGTTGATCATTTGTAAGTCTGCTTTGGAAGAATGTTTATTTAGGTGTTTTGCTCATCTTTTAATTTGGTTATTTGCTTTGGTGATTGCTGTAGCTCGTTTTCTGTTGCTTATAACAAAATACCTGAAGCTGGAAATTTATAAGGAAAAGAAATGTATTTCTGACTGTTACGGGTGCTGAAAAGTCCAAGGTCAAGGGGCTGCATCTGGAGAAGGCCTCTCTGAAATCCCATGACAGTGTAGAGTATCACATGGCCCAGTGACTGAACGTGCTAATGCATTGGCTCAGTCTCTCTTTCTCTTCTTATGAAGCCACCAGTTCTGCTCCCATGATAACCTATTAATCCATTAAGGGATGAATCTATTCATGGGGGTAGAACCCTCATGCCCAAGTCACCTCTGACAGCCCCTACCTGTCAGTACTGCCATATTGGGGATTAAGTTTGAACATGAGTTTCAGAGGGAGCAAACATTCAAACCATAGCAGTGATCTTTGTTTATTAACCTGGATTTGAATTATTGGTGTCACTTTTCTTCATTCTGACAAAATTTCTTTAGTACTTATATAAGATGAAAGGTTTGCTAGCAATACATTCTCTCAACTTTTGTTTATCTAGAAATGATTTTATTTTGCCATCTTTTTTCTCTATGTGTCACAACTCTTCAAATAAACACTTACCTTTTAAAGTAGTTTTTAGACTGCTTTATATCTAATACATTTATAGAAAAATAGTACAGAAACTTTCTATATACTCTGTACCTCACATTCACTATTATTAATACCCTATACTAGTATGTTACATTTGTTTAACGAATGAACCAATATGGATATTTTATTGTAAACTGAAGTCTATATGCAGATTTTCTTAGTTTTTAACCTAGTAATTTTTCTGTTCCAGGATTCCACTTGGGATGCCACATTACATTTGGCTGTTATATCTCCTGGGACTCCTTGTGGTTGTGACGGTTCCTCAGATTTTCCTTCTTTTTGTAGACCTTCAAAGTTCTGAGGAGGACAGGTCAGGAATTTTGTGCAATGTCTCTCAGCCGACATTTGTCTGAGATGTTCCTCATAATTCCTTGGGTTACAGGTTTATAGTGGAAAACAGAGGCTAACGGGCCTTTTCATCACATCATGGAATTGGTACACGCTATCAACATGACTTACACTATTGATGTTGATCTCAGTCACATAGCTGAGGTTGTGTTGGTCAGGTTTCTTCACTGTCAAGTAGCTTTTTTTCCCTTTACAAACTATACTCTTCGGAAGAAAATTACTATGCACAGCCCACACTCAAGAAGAAAGTGCACCTCTTTTTGACAATGGGGTATTTACATAATTTTTTTTTTAGTTTTTCTGCATAGGATATTGGCCTCTTTTCCCCCACTTATTTATTTGATCATATCTGTATGAACTCATGGATATTTATCCTATAATTTGAGTTATAATCCAATACTACTTTACTTTCTTGCTCAAATTGTTCCAGTTTTGGCCTATGGTGGTTCTTTCAATTGGCTCCCATGTCCATTTGACATACCCTAATCATGGTGGGGTTTTAAATTTTGGGAGCACTTTCTCACTTTCTTGTGCCACATGGTGTTTCAGGCTCATCTTATAGATTTCCTCCTAAAGTCCTAGAATCACCCATTTCTCCAGGTAGTCCCAGTTCTTTGTATTGGAGTAAGGGTTTTGAAAGCAAGATCTGGGCTAATGGTGTCCTCAGTGTTGGGCATCAGTGGTGGGGATAGGGGGAGAGTCTCAGCTTTTACACTCCCCAAGCTGAGAGTGAAAGAAAATAAATGTGAGTATATTCATCCCTATAAGTATGCATATCTATAAACATTTCTCTGTGTAAAAACCTGTATCTATATTAAGTTAAACATGAATTCTTGCTGATGTCAACAACCTAAACATTACCATATGGGTCCTCTTCACCCCGTTCCCTTACCAGTCTGTGAATTTCCACTCCAACTGCAAGAAGCCTCCTCCCACCACCTGCCAGCCATTGACTTAATTCTTCTGTCCCAGCCAGGATACATGTTTAGTTGTCTCAGAACTGTTGACCCAGAGCCTCATGGAATACACTCTAGTTGTCTTTCATCTTACAATCTTTACTCATTTTTACAGTTACTTAGATCAGAACTTTTTCCCTTCACCCATTCAATAAGATTATTTTATACATTTAAAATAGAGTTAGATTGTTTTCTCACAGTTTGCATTCAATTTGGGGATCTATTGACCTCTAATTTTTTTAAAATTTCTATTTAATACATTTTATTCTTCAGGCTCTGAAGTTCTATGAGTTCTGACAATTGCAGTGTCATGTATCCACCATTAGAGTATTATACAGAATAGATTTACCATCCCAAAAAATGCCCTGTATTTCACCTATTCAACCCTGAAGCCCCAGAGACCACTGAATTTTTATTGTTGCTGTAGTTTAGCTTTTTCCAGTCTGTTATATAATTGGAAGAATATGCTATTTAGCCTTTTTGACTTTTTTTTTTTACATATAAATACACTTAAGTTTCATCCATGGTGTTTCATATATTGATAGTCCATTTCTTTTTATCATGCAATAATAGTCCACTATATGGATGCACCATAGTTTTTTTAATTTATTCACTTATTAAAGGACATTTTGGTTATTACCACTTTCTGTTAATTATTAATAAACTTGCAATAAGTATTCACATGAAGTTTTTATGTGGACATAAGTTTTCAAATCAGTTCAGTAAATATCTAGGAAAACAATATATGAATGATATGATATAGTAATAATTAGCTTTGTAAGCAATTCCCAAACTGTTTTCCAATGTAGATGTACCATTTTGCATTCCCACTAACCAGTATGAATAACAATTTTCATAGAACAACAGCCTCACCAGCAACTGATAATGTCAGTTTTTTAGCCCTTCTAATAGGTATGTACTCACATCTAACTGTTGTCTTAACTTGCAATTGTCCAAGGATAAATTGGGGCATCTTTTCATATGCATATTTGCCATCTGTGTATCTTATTTGGTGCAGTCTCTGCACTATTTTGCCCATTTAAATTGGATTGTATTTTGTCTTATTATTTTAGTTTTAAGAGTGATTTGTATATTTTAGATATCAGTCCTTTACTAGGCTTATGTTTTGCAAAGATTATTTTCTAATATGTGCTATATCTTTTCATTATTTTAATAGTTTATTTTGCAGAGTAGATGTTTTTAATTTTAACAAAGTCTGACTAATCTTTTTTTCCTTTCCTTTCATAAATTATGCTTTTTGTGTTGTATCTAAAACCTCATCACCGAGTTCAAGGTTACATGAATTTTATCCTGTTTCCTTTTAGATTTTTACTTTGCATTTTTACATTAAGGTGATGATCCATTTTAAGATAGTTTGTGTGAAAGTTGCAAATCCTATGTTTAAGCTTATTTTATTTATTTTCTTTTTGGCATAGACAAGTCCAGTGTTTTCAGCAACATTTGTGGAAAAAACAGCCTACTTTCCATTGAATTGCGTTTGCTGCTTTGTCAAGACCAGGTGAACATATTTTTGTTGACACATTTCAGGGTTCTCTATTATGTTGCAGTATCCTGTGTGTGTATTCTTTTCTAATACCATGGTATCTTGATTACTGTGTCTTTGCAACAAGTCTTGAAGTTGTGTAGTGTCAATCCTTCAATTTTTTTTCCTGCAATATTGTATTGGCTATTCTGAGTCTTTTCCCTTTTCAGATAAACTTTGAAACAACTTTTTCAATATCTACAACATAGCTTACTGAGATTTTGATAGAGATTGCTAATGATCTATAAATCAAGTTGGAAATAATTGACATCTTAACAATATTGATTCTTTCACTCTGTGAACATAGAATGTTTCCATTTATTTAGATCTTTCTTGTTTTCTTTCACCAGAATTATGTGGCATCCTCTATACAGATGCTGTGTATATTTTGTTAGATTTATAGCCAAATATTTTATATCCTTGCTGCTAATGTAAATGCTATTATGTTTTTACTCTTTAATTTGAATTATTTGTTGTTGGTATATAGAAAAGCAATTGACTTTCAGTGTTAATATTTGATCTTATAACAGGTTTATTTGTTCTAGGAGTATTTTTCTTAAGTCTGGGATTTGCTGCATAAACAATCATGCCCTATCTGTCCACATTTTATATTTTCCTTTTCTTGTCTTATTTCACTAGCTATGGCTTCCATGTTGAATAGGAATGGTAAGAAGGAACATCATTGCTGTATTAGTCCGTTCTCACACTACTGAAACAACATACCTGAGACTGGGTAATTTATGGATAAAAGAGGTTTAATTGACTCACAGTTCCACAGGCTGTACAGGAGGCACAGCTGGGGAGGCCTCAGAAAACTTAGAAGCATGGTGGAAAGTGAAGAGGAAGAAAGTAAGTCTTACCATGGTGGGGCAGGAGAGAGAGGGCAAGAGAGAATGACGGGGGAAGTGCTACACATTTTCAAACAACCAGATCTCATGAGGACTCACTCACTATCACAACAACAGCCAGGGGGAAATCCGCCCCCATGATCTAATCACCTCCTACCAGGTCCCTCCCCTAACATTAGGGATTACAATTCTACATGAGATTTGGGTGGGAACACAAAGCCAAACCATATAAATTGCCTTTGTCCCGATCTTAAGAGAAAAGCATCCAGTTTATCACCATCAAGTATGATGTTAAGTGCAGTTTCCTTGGACATGTTCTTCCTACGTTGAGGAAGTTCTCTATTCTTAGCTTGCTGATTTTTTTTTAATGAATACATGTTGAATTTAGTCAAATACTTCTATCCATGTCAATTGATAAGATCATAATGTTTGTTTCTTCAGGTTGTTCATGTGGTGGATTAAATTAATTCATATCTGATGTTTAAAGAAGACTCGTATACCTGAAATAAATTCCAGATGATTGTGTTGAATAATTCTTTTAAACATTGCTGGATTCAATTTGCCAGTAATTTGTTGATGATTATTAAATTTGTGTTCAAAAAAGATATTGGTCTGCAGTGCAGTTTTTCTTTCTCATAATGTCTTTATCTATTTTTTGTGTTAGGATGGAATAATGCTGGCTTCAAAGAATTAGAAAGCAGTTTTTCTGCTTCAATTTTGTGAAAGATATTGAGAGGATTTGTTTTGTTTAGTTTTTCTCCCTTAAATATTTGGTAGGCCTCACCAGTGAAACAATGTAGCTTTATTTTTTCAGAGGGCTAGTATTTATTAATTTAATTTGTTTAATAGATTTAGATTATTTGGATTATCTATTTATACTTGTGTTAGTGTTGTTAGCTTGTGTCTTCATTTTATATCAGTTGCCAAATTTTGGGAAACAGTGTTGTACCCATCAATCCTTTACTTTTTTTTAATATCTAGCTGATCTGCAGGAAGCATCCTTCTCTTATTTCTGACATTGGTAATTTTAGTCTTCTTTCTTTTGATCTTGGTTAGCCTGGATAGTAGTTTATCAATTTTATCAATCTTTTTTGAAAGACCAACTTTTGATTATGATGATTTTCTCTATTGTTTTCTTGTTTTCAATCTCATTGATTCCTGCTCTAAATTTTATTATTTCTTTTCCTCTGCTTGTTTTAGGCTTAAATTTCTTCTCTTTCTCTACTTTTTAAGGAGAATCTTAGATTATGGCTTTTACATTCTTTAAATATATACATTTAACGCTATACATTTCTAATCACTGTTTTTGTTGCATCACAAAATTTTGATAGGTTATACTTTTATTTTCATTAAATCAAAGATCATGTGTAATATCTCTTCAGACTTTTTCTTTGACACATATTATTTAGAAGTGTGCTGTTTAATCTTTGAATACTTGAAGAAATTCCAGCTGTCTTTATGTGATTTATATCTAATCTAAATCTATTGTGGTCTGAGAGTACACATTGCAGGATTTCTATTATTTTAAATTTGTCTAGTTGTGTTTTATTGATCAGGATGTTGTCTACCTTGGTGAGTGTTCCATGTGAGTCTGAGAGGAATATGTATTCTGCTGTTGTTGGGTCGAGCATCCTATAAATACCAACTAGATCAAGTTGATCAATAGTGCTCTTCAGGTCAAATTTATCCGTTCCGACTTTCTAGTCTACATGATCTGTTATTTACTCTTTTTTTTTTATTATACTTTAAGTTTTGGGGTACATGTGCACAATGTGCAGGTTAGTTACATATGTATACATGTGCCATGCTGGTGTGCTGCACCCATTAACTCGTCATTTAGCATTAGGTATATCTCCTAAAGCTATCCCTCCCCCCTCCCCCCACCCCACAACAGTCCCCAGAGTGTGATCTTCCCCTTCCTGTGTCCATGTGTTCTCATTGTTCAATTCCCGCCTATAAGTGAGAATATGCGGTGTTTGGTTTTTTGTTCTTGCAATAGTTTACTGAGAATGATGATTTCCAATTTCATTCATGTCCCTACAAAGGACATTAACTCATCATTTTTTATGGCTGCATAGTATTCCATGGTGTTATTTACTCTTGAGATGTCTTCAACTGTAAATGGTGACTTTGTCTATTTCTCTTTGCAGTTTTGTCAACTTTTCTCCTCATGTATTCTGATGCTTTGTCCTAGTTGCTTATACATTTAAAATTATTATGACTTCTTGGAGAATTTGGCTCCTTATCATTATATAATGTCCCTCTTTATACCTGATAATTTTCCTTGTTTTGAGTCTGCTTTGCCTGAAATTAATATAGCTACTTGTTAGGACTGTATTTTCTTTTCCTCTCTTTTACTTTTAGTATATCAATGCCTTTATATTTCAAGTAAATATTTGGTGCACAACACATAGTTTTTTTGTTTTTTGTTTTTCTTTTTTTTTTTTTTTTTTTTGAGAGGGAGTCTAGCACTGTCGCCCAGGCTGGAGTGCAGTGGCGCGATCTCCGCTCACTGCAAGCTCCGCCTCCCGGGTTCACGCCACGCCATTCTCCTGGCTCAGCCTCCCGAGTAGCTGGGACTATGGGTGCTCGCCACCACGCCCAGCTAATTTTTTTTTTGTATTTTAAGTAGAGATGGGGTTTCACCGTGTTAGCCAGGATGGTCTCGATCTCCTGACCTCGTGATCCGCCCGCCCGCCTCGGCCTCCCAGAGTGCTGGGATTACAGGCGTGAGCCACCGTGCCCGGCCCACACATAGTTTTTAATCTACTCTGTCATTCTCTTTTAAATGGTGCTTTTAGAACATTTATATTTTAAAAAGTATTCAGATAGTTGGAAATATATATGCCATATTTGAAACCGTTTTCTATTCATTGCTTTTATTCTTTGTTTTTTTCTCCTTAATTTGGTTTTAATTATTTTATGTAATTCCATCTTCCCTCTTATCAGATCAACTATACTTTCTTTTTTAGTGGTTTCTTTAGAGTTTGCAATATGCATTTACGAGTAATCCAAATACACTTTCAAATGAAACAATATGGGTAATTCAGGTTTGTTTTAACAGAATATTCTCAATCCTTCCCTCCTATTCCTGATAAAATAGTTGTCTTTGGTGTCACTTATCCAATAACAGATATCGGAATCTATTATATTAATTCTGATAAAGAAATATAGAAGATTTTATTATGTTATTTATACTATCTCTGGTGCTTTTCCTTTCTTTTTGTATACTTGAGCTTCTGACCTATATTATTTCCTTCTTTCTGTTGAACTTAATTTTTTTTTTTGCATGGTAGTTGTGCTGATGATGAATTGTCTCAGTTTGTCAGAAAAATTATCATTTCTCTTTCGCTTTGAAGAAAAATTTTCTTCATAGAGGACTTTTTTTTCTTTCAGTACTGTAAATGTTTTACTGTATTTTTTACCTGACTTCTTTCAAAATGTTCATATTGTCTTTGGTTTTTCCAATTTGGAATATAATAGGTATTGATATTTTAGGTGTTTATTTCGGTTGGTGTTTAGTGAACTTCTTAAATCTGTGGTTTAGTATCTGACATTAAATTTGGAAAGTTGTCAGCCATTATTGTGCCAAATATTTATTCTGCTTTATTCTCTTTTGCTTCTCTTTATTGTAATTACATATATGTTCACTGATTAAATTGTTCCATTGCTCTTAATTTTTCTGTTTTTTCTCTTTGTATTTTGGTTTGGGAAGTTTCTATTCACATCTCTTTAAGGTTGCTGATTCTTTCTTTACCTATGCTCAGTCTACTGATGAGCCCATCAAAGACTTTTTTTATTATACTTTAAGTTTTAGGGTACATGTGCACAACGTGCAGGTCGGTTACATATGTATACATGTGCCATGTTGGTGTGCTGCACCCATTAACTCTTCATTTAACAATAGGTATATCTCCTAATGCTATCCCTCCCCCCTCCTCCCACCCCACAACAGGCCCCGGTGTATGATGTTCCCCTTCCTGTGTCCATGTGTTCTCATTGTTTAATTCCCACCTATGAGTGAGAACATGCGGTGTTTGGTTTTTTTGTCCTTGCGATAGTTTGCTGAGAATGATGAAGCTGGAAACCAAAGACATTTTTCATTTATGTACAGTGGGTTTTTTTTTTTTTTGCTTCTATCACTTCCTTTGAGCCTTTCTTTGAGCTTCCATCCCTCCGCTTTTATTAACTATTCATCCATTCTTGTCGTTATCTCATTTTTCCACTAGAACCCTTATTATACTTTTGCAGTTATTTTAAATTCTCCGTCTGATAATCCCTAAATCTGTGCCATATCTCAATATGGTACTAATGCTTGTTTTGTCTTTTTCACTGCATTTTTTCCTGCTTTTTACATGTCTTGTAATCATCTTGAACCCTGAAAATGATATATTGTGTGATAGGTAATGAAGTAAATTGGCCTTTAGTGTGAGGTTTTATGTTAATCTGGCTAGGAGTTCGGCTGTGTTTAATGTTTGCTGTGGCCCTGGGTGCCAGAGGCTTTAGTTTTCCCCAGTGTCTTTGTTTTTGTCTCTCTTGTTGTCTAAATGTTTTCCTGAGAACTCCTTTTTAAATAGGCTCTGGGTATTGGCAGCTTCTTCAGCTTTAATTCAATGCTATTGTACTGAAACCCTGATGATGTATGACAACATAGTATGGAGCAGAGGACACACTGTATAATCCTGTGAATAAATCTCAGGCTCTTAGTGGTCCTGTGTTCCTGGAGAGGGATTTTCATAAATGTTTCCTACATTCACTGCCCTTCTCCAGCCCCACTTCTTAAGTGGGACGGAAAGAATTGATGCTACTAGAATTGAGTAATTTTCCTTCCTCCTATGTCAGATAAGGTTATGGTAAAGTCTTTAGGCCTTTGTGATGGAGAAGGCGCTGGGCATATTCCAAATGAGTTACTTTTCCCTAGCCTCTGCCAAAGACACAAGGTGATTTTTCTTGGATCTTTCTCCATGAGAACCTGATGGCTCCTGGAGATAAAACCCACAAAAAAAAAAAAAAAAAAAAAAAAAAAAAGAGAAGGCTCCCTGTCTGTGGCCCTCAGCAGTTTCTCACACTCAGGTTTGTCCACCCTCAGTCTCCAGCTGTTTTACAAAATTACCACTTATGTGTTTATGGCTCTGTGGGCTTCTGCTCCTGGTAAGCTGGTGTCAGTTATGTTTCTCTGTATTTGTGTGTCACTCCAGATTTCTGGGTGGTGACGTTTGCTGGGACCTCGATTCTCTCTTAAATCTAAGAATGTCATTGATTGATTTTCATTCTGTTCTCCATTTTATTTGTCATAATAATAGACTGATAACATTTAAAACTTCACCTGTTAAAGCCAAAACCAGAAATACCTTTACTTTCATTTTTGAAAGATAATTTTGCTAGATATAAGATTCTACATTGACAAATGTGGTTTTCTATCCTCCATCAGCATTTTAAACATGCCATCCATTGCCTTTAACTCTTCATTGTTTCTTATTAGAAATCTACTCTTAATCATATTGGCATTACCTTGTACATGACAGTACACACTGTCTTTTTTTTTTTTTTTCCTTTTTGCTTTCAAGGTTCTCTCCTATTTTTACTTTTCAACATTTGGACTATGACATATCTTCATGAATCTCTTTGTTTTTACCCTCTTTGAAGTTTACTAAGTTCTCGGATGTGCAGATTACTGTTTCTCACCAAATATGGGTTATTTGTGGCCATGATTTTTCAAATTTTTTCCACTCCTTTCTCTGTCTCTTCTCCTCTGGCACTATCATTATGTGTATATTTGTGCATACATAGTGCCTGACATATCTCTCCAAATCTGTTCATTGTTCTTTATTATTTTTTCTCTCTGTTCTTCAGATCGCATAATCTCTATTGAGTTATCTTCAAGTTCACTGATCCTTTTTTCTGCCAGTCCAAGCATATTGCTGGAACCCTTTAATGCATTTTTTTTTTTTTGAGATGGAGTCTCGCTCTGTCACCAGACTGGAGTGCAGTGGCATAATCTCGGTTCACTGCAACCTCCAACTCCTTGTTTCAAGTGATTCTCCTGCCTCAGCCTCCTGAGTAACTGGGATTACAGGAACATGCCTCCACACCCAGCTAATTTTTGTATTTTTAGTAGAGTTGGGATTTCACCATGTTGTCTGGGAGGGTCTCAATCTCCTGAACTTTTGATCCGCCCACCTCAGCCTCCCAAAGTGTTGGGATTACAGGCGTGAGCCACCGCGCCTGGCTTGCATTTTTTTAAATTGGGGTATTTTACTTTTCAACTCCAAAATTCCCATTGCCCATTTTTTACAATTTCTATATTTTTATTATTATATTCTACTTGAGGCATTGTTATCTTATCTTTAATTGTTCAAAAATAATTTTCTTTAATTTAAAACATTTTTAATAGCTGCTTCAAAGTCTTCGCTAAGTACACTAACTGAGTCTTCTCAAAGCTTTTTTATGTAGCTTGTATTTTTTTTCCTGAGTATGGGTAACACCTTGTTTCTTTCCATATTTCATAATTTAGTTTTTAAAACTGAACACTTTAAATAATATGAAAATTTATTTAGTCATATTAAAATAATAACATTATAGCAATGCTATATACTAACTTTCTCTACACTCCGGGGCTTTCTCTCATTGGTTTTCTTCTTTATTGACTTGAATGGATTGAGGGAAGCCTACCTCCCTTGCAGTATGCATCCTCTGATGTCCCCACTCAACATTTTTTTCCTCATTTTTAATCTTTAAACCTGGCTTCTTAGGGGCTGTACCTGGGTCAAAATCACTTAGTGATCAGCCACTGATTGGTCAGAAGTTTTGCGTAAGCCTCCTAAACCAGTCAGGTTTTCACTTTTGCCTGTTGGATTTATGTGTGGCTTAGAGGTTGCTTTCACTGTCTGGGGATATTATGAGTTTGACCCATGTTTATCCAGGGACTTATAACTCAGAAGGTCCCTCTCCACTTGCTCCTCAGAGGAAGGTGCACTTGGGCATAAACACACATCCTGAGCAAAAGGAATTAATTACCGTGATTCTAGACGGGCTCTTTTATTGTTTCTTCCCTTGATTTCTTTATTAAACTTATTGGTGGTCTGCCTTTATTGGTATTACACCTACTCATTCGTCTTCACCAATTACTAGCTGATTTATCCATGTTTTGATCTCCTTCGTGGGCCCCTTGGTGGGGCCAGAGTATTACCAGTCTTTGTGGCTTGCTCCTATGCTCCCCTGGGCAGAATGTGTGCATTCTAGAACAAGGGATTGGGGAAATGAGTAACTTATTCTTCACTGGCTGCCTTATTTTGATCTTTCCTATGGAGCAGGTGCTGTGTTGGGGGAAAGGGGATGACACCACCTGGTTGTCACCACCATCCAATGTCGATCTTCCACAGCCCAAAGATGGAGGGGATAAGATCTGTGTATTTTTACCAGCTACTGAATCCACTCAAAACAGCTCTCCAAAGCCCCAAAGCCAGGAATGTGGAGTATATAGGAGCTACCATTCCATTGCCAAGCCCATTGGAGCAGCTTTCATGCAGGACATGAGGATCTTACTCTTTATTCGTTCGCCACTCAGTTACACCTTACAAATGGGAGTTAGAGATAGGGGAATAGTAACTGCCTGTTCCCATTCAATATAGGCATTGCCTATCAAGGAAAAATGGAACCCATCAATGTTAATGGGTGACTGAATTCAACTAGAACACTTATTCTACACCAGGGAGCTGAGGAGACAGGAACTGCTGAGCTTACTGGAACAGCTCTTCCATAACAAAGAGCTGCAGGGAAGGAGGCTCTCGCTAGACTGAATGTCATGGCCTCTCATATTCTTACCAAGTTTTTAGAGATTGTGTTCAACAAATGCTTCTCAGTTTCATGTAAGTTCTTTGAATAGTCTCCAAAGACCTTAAATATTTGTCCTTTTTAATTTTGGCCAGATTAGTAGATGTCTCTTTGGGAAAGAGATTTCTCCAAGCTCCTCACATCACCACTGCGGAAATCTCATCTACAAACCACACATTTTAATTTTGATAGTTATTCTCTGACCTTCCTCTAGAATATAAGTTACTTGAAGGCTGTATTTTATCTTTTCTTGTTCGTTTGTTTGTTTGGTTGGTTGTTTTTCACTATTAGAAGAGTAACTGGACATAGTAGACATTCAATAAATTTAAATAGGAAAATAAAAATTCCTCTCCTAATAGTGTACATAACTAGCTAATTCTACCAAATCCTTTCACTGAGAATAGTTGGAAAAGATATTTTTTAAAAATATTCTTAAAGGTATTGAAAAGCTAATAAGAATGAAGAACTATCAAATCAAGATACAGATAAAATCAAAGGGTTAATAAAGTTTTTGTTTGTTTGTTTTTGTTTTTATTTTTTTCTCTTAGGGACATATGCCAATTCCTGAGAAGCTGGGTGGGCTTCTGAGAGTATCACAGGGCAAGAAATTGGTTACTGTAATCTGTGGTTGACTATGTCAGGACTGGCAACCTTTTCTTCTTTTGGTTGGAACAGTTGCCTTCTATAGTAAGGTCAAAATAAGATTATGCAGAATGACAATAACCTTGCAAATCAATTGCTGGTTTTTGAGAGTTTTTTTTTTTAATCATTTCTTTTATCTTTCATTTTAGCATGGCGTTTTTCAAATTGCCAAAATGTTAAGAGGATGCCCCACAAATCTATGACACGTCTATAACAGAAAATATAGCATAAAAATAGAAATTAGAAACCTCACTACTTTTCCAGTTTTGAGTATCTCCTGGGTGTGTATTTCTGGCAAGTTCTGATTTATTATTGTCATGCCTTCTGTCCTTTGTAGGTGACACCCCTCAGCACTATGGCAGACAGATTTTTTCAAGGAGCCTAGGTTAGCTCTAGTTTAATTTTTCTCGGATTGTGAATTTTTATACATTGCTTCCCTACTCCATATCCCTTAGCAGCTTGGTAAACAATACTCCTGTGTTATTTTGTTGTCTTTGTTTTTCCCCGGGAAAACTGGATGTGCATCATTTCTTTTTGAATGGGTATTGGAACTAATTTCAAGTTCTACTCATGTGGTTATTGTTGTTATTTCCCTTCCTCTTCCAGTTTTGATTTTTTTTCATTGCATAGTTTCCTGTGGTTCATTTCCATCCCACACCCTGCAAACCACTCCAACACAATCCAGAACATTTATTCTTGTTCTCCCTGGAGTGTTCCTCGCCATTCTGCAGAAAGTTCCTTGGGTTTGGCGTCTCCTTATTTCCAAATGCATAACAGTGCCTTCCAATTCACAGCTACCCATTATTCCCAATTTCATCATCACTTTTGCCAGATGCCAAGCCCACCAGCAGGCAGGATATTTACCTCAGGGCACTTACCATTATAAATTGCAAAGTCTGTGGTGATTTAGTGTCCATACTCAGTTTGAAAACAATCAGCAAACCTCTTTATTCAATTAAGCAGTAACAAAACAGTAAGTGCGTAATAGTTATGTTATTCACTCCATTATTTATATCAACAAAAAACCCAGTTATGTCAGTTAGATAAGTGCCAAATTATTGTAGAAATTTGTCCCAGGTGGAAGTGAGTTCTGGTGTTTTTTCTAAAAAGTCAGAATAGGTAATAATTCCATGATCATTAATATAAATCTGTTATGTGTTCAGACCAGTGCAAATTTTCTGGAACATTTTCATAATTTATAAGACACTCAAATTTTCTCAGAGAACCCTGTATCTACACAAGTGTTATTGTTGTAATTTGATTTTAAGGTGAAACCAGTGCATTAATAGCTTTTCAAAAAAAAGATGATGAAAAAGGCATACATCAATTGTAAAGCGTACCTTTATATCAGATATATTAAAATGTAAGCCAATGTGTACTTCAGGATCAAGAACACACAATAAAACCTTCAATCTCTTATACAACAGCACGTGTTGAACATTTCCTGACTACCAGGAACTATGCTAGGAATTGGACACACTCAGGTTAGTAAAACAGCCTAGCTACTGCTCTCAAATTATGCTCAGTGAAGTGGAGGAGAAGAGAAAGTCAATAGATAATTGAAACACAAGGTGTCAGGTAAAGGCTTAGTTCAATATCAAGTGAAGATTTTTGAGCATCGTGCCAGACTTTCACTGTTTAAAAGATTTAAAAACAAAAAGCATGTGTTTCAAGTCAAGGATAAATGAAGAAAAAAAAAAGAATAAGAAAAAAAAGAAAAAAGCAATCCGTAACCCTAGGCTGGAAGTGAAGAAAATGGGACAAAGGAATCAATGGAGCTGAAAGGGTATGCTGGCCAGCAGGACGCTGGTAGAGGTGAAAAGCTGGGCAAAGCAGCGCACCAGGACCCCCTGTAAATGCCATGGTGGGCTTGGGGCATAGTGAACCTCTTCAAGTAGCCTGAGGATAAAACTTGAGAAGTAAAATTAATTCGAAACCTCCTAACCAACTGAACGGACCATCTTTTGGCCAGTGGGACCCCAGAGTAACCTTGAAAACTGAGTTCTCCTCCATGAACTGAGCTCAGACAGGCCTCCTCATGCCTCCTCCCTCGCTAACCACCATTAGCTTTTCTTCCTTAAGGGCTAAACAGACACCAGCCCTTTAAGAAGATTCCACCGCTGACATCATCCAGTCTCCTGATGCTTCCCCTACTCTTTTACCTGATTTGACACCACCAGCCATGGAGTGGTTCTGACCAGACTACAGAGAATGCACAGTGAGGGTTTTTGCATGTTCTGCTTCACCTTTTGATGTCAGAGGGCCAAAAATTCCACCCTCTGATTTAGCATTTTTTGTACATGGAAGCTGTCTGTGAAAGGGTAAAAATGCAACTGCCTGTGCATTCCTCCTCTCAAAAATATTCATGACTCTTTTTTATGGCTGCATAGTATTCCATTGTGTATATGAGATCATGTCTTTTTCAGAAACATGGATGGAGCTGAAGGTCATTATCCTAAGCAAACTATCACATGAACAAAAAAGCTAAATACATGTTCTCACTTATAAGTGGGAGCTAAACTTTGAATAAGTGTGAACACAAAGGGAATAGACACAGGGGCCTACTTGAGGGTGAAGGGTGGGGAGGAGGAGGAGGATTCAAAAACTATCTATTGAGTACTATGCTTATTACCTGGGTAACAAAATATTCTATACACCAAACCCCCATGACATGCAATTAACCTACGTAACAAACCTGCCCATGTAACTCTGAAACTAAAAGTTAAAAAAAAAATTATGACTTCTTCTATGACTTATTAAATATGTATATTTGGTCACCCTATTCAGCATTAATTTCTGTTCCCTTTGCCCCTTCTGGCCAGAGGCTATGCTCCCAGCCTGTCAGAATGACAACCTTGCAGGCTGCAACCCTTTAAGAGAAACAAAGCTCTCCTCTCCACATTTATGAGCCTGTCATCCTCATTCTTCAGTTGCCACACTAAGGAAAGAGCCCTGGAGATGAAGGAGGTAAGAAGCCATCCTTTGCCCCAGTAGAGAGAAGCCAGTATTTCCAGCCTTCCTAGAATTAGGTGAAATGAGAACCTTAAGTCTCCCTTTCTCCCTTCCTTTCACCACTTTCCCCTCTGCCTCTCTCATCCTCTCTCCCCTTTTCTTCTCACCTCCACTCTTCTGTCTCCCTGTGTCTCTCTTTTCTCCTTATCCATCTACGTTTGTGGAAAACATTTACATTTCAAGTGTTTGGCCTAGAAATCCTAAATAGTATATGCCCAAGCTTATGCAATGATATTAACTAACTTTGAAACCTCAGGGCTGCTTTTACCCACTCTCTTTTTGCACTTGCTCCTGGGTTCAGGGACACAGGCTAAAAGGCTTTTGTTTCCATGTTCAATTGCCAACATCTTCTGACCTGACCGAATTTATTCTTTTCCTGTTGCTGCTGGGACTCATGGCTTCTCTTGTGCATGATGAGGCTCCTAAAATGTATAAATTGTCATTTTGCTGTGTCAAGAAGTTAGTCTTATTTGACTTAAGGAAAGTAGCTTTGACTTAAGTAAAGTAGCTTAGTCTTATTTGACTTAAGGAAAGCAGCTTTCTCGGTTCTCTTTGGAGGGAAAAATATGTTTTTCAATTAAAATGCATCCCCGTGAGCTACATACTTCCTAAAGTTGCACTACAAGTTGTCCTCAACTGGAGGGAGCCCAATTCACCCTGATTGCCCCAGGCCTTAGGAACTCCTGGCCTGCCTGTAGACAACAGCAGCCTGAGTATAAGGAGCAGCTCAGCATGGATCTATGTCGCCAGAGAAAGGGTTTGAATTTCAAAAACCCACATCAGTGCCAGTGAAGTTCAAGAGAGAAGCACAACACACCTTTTCTCCAAGGATTACTGGATAATGGCTTTTAAATACAGACTTTTACAAACTCGATACCCAACAGAGGCCCTGGAGACTTTTCCTGCTGAAATGGGAGAGTTCTCTGACCCCCTCGCGGGACATGTGACAGGGGTGTGGTTTGTCTGTTCATCCACTGCCATGGACTTAAACCCCTTACCGGAAGGGGAGCACACAGACCACCAGGTGCAGGAACCTGGTGAGCGCTTTTGGGTTCTGTCCCCACAGTAGCATCTAGGAGTGAGGCCTGTAACTCCCGAAGCCACAGTGGGCATGTTACAGTACCCTCTTAGCTCTGCTGTCCGCAGACAGCTTAAGCGTGAACCAGCTCTGTGTCCTCTTGGTACCCAGATCCTTGTCAGGCGTTCAGGAAGAATCAGGTAACATACAGGCTTGAAGGTTGGTGACTGCAGGGGTTTTACTGAGTGGTGGAGGTGGCGCTCAGTGGGATGGATAGGGAGCTGAAGAGAAGATGGAGTAGGAAGATGATCATGTCCTGAAGTTCGACTGTCCTGTGGTCAACCTCCTCTCCAACCATCTCCAGCCAAACTCCTGTCGATATTCATACGCTCCTTCTTTTCTCTCCTTCTCTGTTGTGCCATTCTGTGGCTCTGTCACTCTACTGCTCCTCTGCTTTTCTGCTTGTGGAGCCTGGGGTTTAGGATTTATATGGTTACAGGATGGGGGAGTGTGGTGGGCCAAAAGGCAAAAATTGGGCATGAAAACAGAAACGCCTCTTCCCATACAGGGCAGCGGGTTTCCAGGCTTAAGGGTGGGGCCTTTGCCAGGGAACTGCCTTCGTCTACCCAGTATCTCCCTGCCTCCTGTTCATATCACTGCCTTTTTGGAAGGTTCAGAACTGATCAGATAAGAGACAGCCCTTCATTCATCATATAAGTGTACAGCCACAGAAAACCAAGAACATGTGCTAAATTTCCCAAGAACATGTAATCCTCCTTTCCTCTAGCAATTGGCTAGAGGAAGAGTAAGACACAGAGTGAGAGTTAGAGTGTGAGACTCCATGTGGCCCTGAAATCAAGGTTGCCAGGAAGGAAGCTGCCTAGTGCCTCCTCTCATCGTGCTGTTTGGCCACGGTGACCTCAGGTACAATGTCCCCTCTGTTCAGACAAGTCAGGTTTACTGGGCTGTGGGCTCAAAAGGGCTTCTCACCCTAGAGATGGCCAAACATCCCTATTAAGCGTGGCCAGTAAGAGGCTCTCCCTCCCCATGCCCACCTTGCTCTTTTATCTGTCTGAGGAGAGAGGAGGTTGAGGGTACCCCTCCCACTGCTCTTCACCCTCACTTCTTGCTTCAAGACAGCTGGGAAGAATGCTAAGTTAATAAAAATGTCTATTCAAAAAACCCACTGAAAGGGTGTGAGCAATTAAGCCTATTCATGACAGTGTGAGGCCAACAGACAAGCCAGTTGGCCTTGAGCTCAGGCTTGCTAATAATAGCATCATCCAGCGCATCTCAGAGCTGTGGGGGACTGCAGGATGACATCACCCAGATGGAAGCCGGAGGGATGGGCAAACCACAAGGTCCCAAGGGCTGATGATCACTGCAAGGAGCTGGAGAAAATCCATGTGTATGAGGGGCTGAGCAGCCCTGTGTACCATTCAGTTTTTTCCTCTATTATGGAGAGGTGGTGATATTGTGGGAAGGTCTGGAATCGGGGCTGCATTCGATTTCACCCTAATTAAAAGTCATGAGGCAACTGTTAACTGCAGCTTACTCACAGTAAAAGATCTACAGAACAATTACTGGTGTGGTACCTTGGAAACCCCCCTCCAATGAGATCCACATTCAGGCACCAAGAGGGGAGCAGCGGAGGCATTCTAGGAAAAGCAGATCTGTCTGGTCGGGTTGCACCTTCTGTGGAGGAGTGGGCATAATGGGTACTCTTAGAGAGTTTTCAGTGTTTTCAGGTTCCCAAAATTGGCTGCTGGTAACAAGCAGTGAGCATCTCTCTATAACCTGTCCTCACACAGGCACACAGCACATGCGCCTTTGTAAGGACGGGAGAGGGAGGTGTCACTTCTGAGAAACATCTGTTGGTCTGCTCACATAATACAAGCCTTTGTGAAGTTAATTAGGGAATCATGAGAGTATTGACACTACATTAGGTCAGAAAAAAAAATCAGATACTAGGAAATCGCTTAAATCTCTTCTTAAGCTGAAAATATCGTTAAGAAATGTTTCCGCTTAGACCAAGTCAGAGATAACCCTCCAACACTCCTCACTCCCTGCCAGAAACTGACTTCACTTTTATAACATAGACAGGCTGATGATGAATGCCTCTCGTATTCAGCTTTGACCAAGCTTAGAGCAAAATAATTTAAATTGTTAAAGTTTGAAAGCATTTATTTTGTTTTGGATTCAAAAGCAAAATTTGTTGTCTTATATGTGAAGAACAACTCTGAGTGTGGCACATCAGCCCACAACAAATGCTAATTACTTTTATAATTGTTACTACTACTACTAAGGCTACTACCCTGGGCACGGAAACAGACAATAATGTTACCTATATATTATATAATATAGATATATATATGACTGTTAAGAATATTTTTTTAAAAGATAAAGGAAGACTTTTAGTTAGGCTGGGTCTGTCTAGGACTCACACACACACACAGTTTCAGAAGAGGAAGCCTTTCCATTCTTTCCAGCAGCCTATTCTCATGATCCTGTAAAAGACAAGGGAATGGGAGGGTCAGGATCACTCAGATTCAATAATCAGCATATGTTCAAAGAGAAACATTTCTGATGAAAGCAGAAGCTTCAAGGAACATTCTGGAACTGAATGGGTCCTTAGCTTCCAGGGCTGTGATGCAGATGGTCTCGGTGATCCTGGAGGCCCTGGACTTATGGTCCCCTTGCAGACCATGCAGAGGAAGATAGCACATCCAAAGCTTATGAACCAGTTTTCCTTGTTGACACTGGCTCTGAGGCTTGATCTGGGCTCGACAGAAGCTCAGGCAAGACATCCAGAGAGATAGTCGTTGTTCAAGAAACCAGCAGAGCCCAGGAAGAGTAAACGTAAAAGCAACTTGATAGAAACAAGAGGAAAACCATACAATAGCTAAACAAAACCTAGAACATAACTACAGTTAGTTTTTAAGTTGGAAGTTGAGAACCCCAGGAAAAAGTCTTGCATAAAAGAAAGGAAAAGGTAAAACCAGCATTCTGAGGGTGGTGGAGAAGCTTCCTCAGTTTTTCTCGGAAACTTGAGCAAAGCACTGATAGTAAGTGCATAAGCGTAAACCCTTAACTGTTGTGTGCCGTTTTCTTCTCTTAGCTTCCCACCAGCCTGGCTACCAAGACATCCTATTATAACTTGAAAATTGAGATATGTTTAAAATTAAATAATATTTGTTAGAACTCTGATGTTTCCCTTGGTGTCCTGATTTTTCCCCTGGTAAGACTAGCATGGGATTTAATAATCCTCAGGAAGAAATGTCAACAAAACCATTTTCCACCACGCCTCAACTAATGAACACACTTTCTGACTACCCACGAATGAACTGGAGTATTCCAAACATGGAATAATTTTAAAGTGATCATTTCTTAATCTAATTAAAAGTTTGATTTATTAGTTTTTGTTAGTTTTTTTTTCCTGATTTTTACTCCTGAACACAGGATCTTAATTATGCTTAAATTAGGCTCCCATTTAATATGGTCTGTCTTTCCTGAGCATAAACTAAGGCATGTCAGACAAGGGAGTTCCCAAAGCCTGCAAGCATGATGTTTGATTAGTATAACGTTACTTGTATCAAATAGATCCCAAAATGTCTAACTTTTTGACTAAAATATCAGACGATTTATAAATGAGTTATTCTTGTTTCTTGGACACAGAAAGTCCGAGGTGTACGTTGTAGGTGTACAGGTGTTTCCCTGCATACCCGTGATTCAGGGATTGAGTTGTTATTCATCTTGTGATTCCATGACTGGCTGAGGCAACTTTTTGATCTGCATACATCAAGTCATTGGGAAAAGAGGATGGACAATGAACAGCTGCTTCTTGCAGGCCTTGAAGCATCTATGACCATGTCACTTCCACTCACACTCAACATGAAGTGGTGTCTACCTGTGTGCCCAGGAGAAAATTGAACTCTCTGGGAATGCACCCTGGGGCAGGTCCTATAAAAGGATAACATATGAGCTGCAGATTCTCCCTAAATGCAACATTACAGCAATGTTCAGCCCCTTGGTTAGAACTTAGAGACTAACTAGTCCATTTTATATGTATACACATATACATATAAAAAATACATACACAAGTAAGGTAGAAAATGAAAAAACCCACCTATAATAACTGCATACAACTTAGTAATACAAAATCATATGGTTCCCTGAATATGGTAGTTCAAACCAAACATGCTAGCAGGAAGTCTTACACAAGACCAGAAGATGTGTAGGGGAAGCAGGAGGAAGAGAAACAGGCAAGTGCTAACTAACCTCAAAAGCTACAGACTCCAGGATATGACATCTCCTCTATAATTGGGTACACAGACAAGTGATTGTGTGAATAACATACTGAACTGGGAGAAGTTGCCAGAGGCTCTCACTTTGTGTAAGGGCATGAAAAATCTTAAAAGGGCTGTGAAAAGATCAAACAGTACGACGACTTAAGCTCTTGGGCATTCCAGAAATAATGCACAACACTCTCTGAAGATATACTGCCAGGAGCTGAAGTCAGAGATACTGTGGGTACAGAAGAGACACATTATTCAGACACTGGTTTCAGAAGAGGTAGATCTCTGGAAGTAATAACTTTGCAAAACAGAGAATTTACAGCCAATGCCACCAGCTTGGAAAGCAAGGTCCATGGGGATCTGGACAATGCAAAGTTACAGGGAAGTGAACTCCAAAATAGGCTTAGCCCTGAGAGATACAGATGTGGCAAAAAAAAAAAAGAAAGAAAGAAAGAAAGAAAAAAAGAAAAAGAGAAAAAAAAAGTGCACGTACCCGAGCACCTCATAGTAATAATAGAGGAGGAAGCCCTGGATTTGTAAAGCTGGAAAAGAGTCCTGTCCTATCCCAACCTCCCCTCAGTGTTCTCCTGGTAGTTTAGGAAAATCCGTCTCATTTAAGCATGGGTAACAAAATAAGCTTACAGTCAAAACATATTTAAATTTATTATAAGAAGAAAAAAATAGGCCAAGCATGGTGGCTCACACCTGTAATCCCAGCACTTTGGAAGGCCAAGGCAGGCAGATCACCTGAGGTTAGGAGTTTGAGATCAGCCTGGCCAACATAGTGAAACCCCATATCTACTAAAACTACAAAAAATTAGCTGGGTGTGGTGGCAGGTGCCTGTAATCCCAGCTACTCAGGAGACTGAGGCAGGAGAATCACTCAAACCCAGGAGGCGGAGGTTGCAGTGAGCCGAGATCATGCCACTGCACTCCGGCCTGGGTGACAAAAGCAACACTCCTTCTAAAAAAAAAAAAAAGAAAAAAAGAAAAAAATTAAACAAAATACCTTCTAACAGATAATGGAAAGAAATGGCTTACATACACTGGACATTTTTAAATTAATAAAAATGAATTAAGAAATTGAAAAAAAAAATCGATGAATGAACAGCATAGTTTAAAAAAAAAGTTCAGAAATAATATGCCTAGACCCTCACTCTGTAAACATTAATGTGCCTAGGGATCATAATGTGGTCTTGGCAAATGCAGGTTCTGGTTCTCTAAGTCTGGGATGAGGCCTGAGATATTGTATTTCTAGCAAGCTACCAGGTGATATGGATGTTATCTGTCTGTGGATTCCATTTTGAAACACAAAGGTTTATACAAAGAATTGGCATATTTTAAAAAGCAACTATGGCTGGCTGCCTGTCTATGTAAATAAAGTTTTAATGGGACACAACCACATCCATAAGTTCACATATTGTCTATGGCTGCCTTTGTGCTTCAGTAGCAGAATTCATCTTTGTAATAGTGGTCTTATGGCCCCTTACAGAAAACTTTTCCAATCCCTGATCAAAACAATAGTATATGAATAGAAAGAGAAAGAATCACAGCAAGGAACTAGAAAAATATTCAGAAATTAAGGTTCAATTTTTAAAAACTCAAGAGAAAATAAATACCAATTGTTATGGAATGGCAATTGTTACGGAATGTTTGTATTCCCATGCAAATTCATATGTTGAAGCCTTAATTCCCAATGTGGTAGTATCCAGAAAGGGCCTTTGGGAGGAAATTAGGGTTAGATGAGATGATGAGGAGACAGTGCCCATGATGAGATTACTGTCCTTATAAAAAGAGAAACCAGAATGCCTGTGCTTGTTCTCTCTCTCAACGAGCTCACAGAGAGGCAGTTATATAAACATACAGCAAGACGGCAGGCACCTACCAACCAAGAAAAGAAGCTGTAGAATGAAATCTACCTTTCTGACACCTTGATCTTGGACTTCTCCACCCTCACAACTGTGAGAAAGAAACATTTGTTGTTTAAACCGCACATCCTACTGCAATTTGTTATCACAGTCCAAGGTGGCTAAGACACCATGGAAAACATGGTACAAAAAGTAGATAATTTTTTTTAAAAAGCCAGAGACAAAAGTATCAGAAATAAAGAAAGAGAATTTTTTAAAATCTTTCAGAGAAATTTAGTAAGTATAGATGTCAGAAAACTACAGATCATGAGTCAATTCTAGTTTGTATCCTGTGTTTGTATAATTACTAATCATAAAATAATTTTGTACATATTTAAAGAGTTGTTTGAAAAAGGAAGAGGAAAAAGAAAAATTAAAAAAAGAAAAAATGAAGAAGAAGGGGAAGATAAGGAGAAACAGAAGAAAAAGAAGAAATAATATATGGCCTGCAAAACCTAAAATACTTTCAGAAAATATCTGTCTATCTCTGCTATAGAAGACTGGCAAGGGACATTTAACATACAGATAATTGGCTTCCCCAATGAAGAACATGAAAGTGATGGAAAAAACAAGCATTTAAAACTATAGTCCAAGAAAATTTTCATGAAATAAAAGACTTGTAAATGCAAGCTGACACCTAGTGAAAGGGTCCATTGTGTACCTACAAAATTTGATGCGGTGTGGTCCACGTGGAGAGAAAGTCTAGTAAACATTTTGAAATGAATATGTGTGTGTGTGTAAAGGGAGCTGTTGTCCTATTTTTATTAGTAACAGCTCCTTCTTTTACATTCTCAAGTGTCTTACTTTGAACAATAAATTATAAGGTTATCCTACTAGAAAGAGAGTAGCTTTAGCCTTTCAATACCAACATTGCATAGCAGAAGTCACATAGAATTATGTTAAATATGTCAAAGGAAAGAAAATATAACCATGGAATTTAACATATTGCAAAAAGTTTTTAATTCTTAAAGACTGCAAACAAATGAGTTCAAAAATTAAAGGATAATAGAGACTATTTTTCCCATGAGCCCTTCCTATAAAACTTATTAGAGAGCAAGAATGAAAAAATAATTAAGGAAAATTTGCCATAATATCTAGGGTGAGGATGGAGTATATTTAATTGTATAATTAAGACTAATATTTCAGGAAATGGGTTACAAAATATTGGGTAATATTAGATAGGCTGACAATGCAAAAAAAATACAATTAACAAAAAGGAAAGTGAAATACAGAGAGTAGACTGAAAGACAAATAGGCTCATAGATTAACTCAACAGTATTAGCTAAACTTAAAAGAAATTAGTAAGAGGGAAGAAGAAGGCCGAATAAAAATAAGTTTACTATCTAAGTCCATTATTGCTCACATTAGTAAAAGAATAGAGAATGACAAAAGAAAAGCACTATGAATATTATAACTACACTGATTTAGAGTTATAAATTGTCTTAGCATAAATTGCCTCAAAAATAGACTACTGTAAGACAAGACTGGAGAGAGGGTAGTTCTGGGGGAGGTGACCCCAGAAGATCTGGTATGGGAATGAGAAAGTAATATAAGAAAGAGAAAGACACCAATATAAGGTGCATTAATTAGCATACTAATCCTGCAGGCAATTTTGGCTTAATCACAATTGGCATCTTTGGTAGATTATGTAGAACATACCTAAGAGTTAACCTACAAAAATGGTAAGGGAGCTGGAGTATTTATCCATCTATTTCCATTCCTTCTTTGCTGAGAGCTGCTCTTGAGGGCATCACTACAATAGTGCTTCTGCTATTTTCTGTGCATGTTCCTGTAGTTAGAGAAAGCCCCTATTAACAGAGTCACAGGAGCCTGCAAGAAGTAGCCATCTAATTGTACAGAAACTGACAAAACCTGCTACACAATCCTTCCTAAATATATATATATATATATATATATATATATATATATATTTTAAAAACCCAAAATGGGAAAAAAGGAGAAAAGCCCCACATATGAAACATTTTATACATAGGGTAAAAATAACTAGATACTTATATTAAAGAGGGTATATTTCTGCCTCTGGAAACATAGACTAAACATATTTTTCCCTATTTTACCTGTGAAGTACAGCTGGGCACCATATATATATATATATATATATATATATATATATATATATATATATATATATATATATAAACATCAATCATGGGAAGACCCTGGAGAGTGGAGAGCAGGCAGACAAATGAGCCAGGGACTTCCCAAGGAACAACACAGCAGAGAGTTTTATTACCTCACATATTCCAGATCGGGTGCTGGGAAAGCTGGCAAATGAAAATTTCGATAAGGGCAGACAAAAGAACCCCAAGAATAGCCACGCTACTTTCTTTACCAAAGGATGCAATAGGTCATCCTAACAAGACAGAAAACTTAGACAAGAACTTCTCCATTCCAGCCAAACACCACAGAAGAAACTGCAGTCCCACTCACATCCTAGCCAGAAAAGTTAGGGTAGGGAGGCAAATGCAATGAAGTATCCTATCCCCTGCTAGGATGGTGTCAGAGAAGGCAGAGTGGAAGCCAGAAATTTCGTAACTGCCCAGCAGTCACAATGTTCCTCCTCTCTGCACCAAGTCGGTGATGATTCCATTATGAGACTGAATTTTCATACCTACTGAGTTGTAAGAGGATGCCCCTATCCTTCCCTGCAGGGGTGGCATCAGAGGAGGCTTAGTGGCGATGAAGACTTTGTCACCATACACAGTGCCTCCAGAGGCTACATCAGGACTAGTAAGATCATTCCTGTCCCTTCAAGTCAAAGTAGTATTAGCACAGACCTAGTGGAAAGCCAGAGCTCCCAACCCCAGCTAAGTGTAGTGAAGGGTCCCTCACCCACTGGTGTCAACAGAGGTCAAGTCACAAACCTGGACTTTCACCTCAACCTGGAAATACTAAGATAATGTTTCTCTTTATTCACTAAAATGGTGTCAGAGGAGACCTTCTGTGATCAAAGGTTTAAGAAAAATTAAGAGTCTCAAAACATAATACACATTTCAACTGACAATCACTAATTTTACTAAGACTCAAGAAAATCACCACTTAAATAAGAACAGACATTGACAGATGCCAAAACTCAGAAGACACAGGTCTTATAATTATCTAGCAAGAAATTTAAATGCCCATAATAAAACATGCTTCCTTAAGTGTAGGGACCAGCCCTACGGGGCTTTGCAGGTGTTCTCTTCGTGTGCAGAGATGAGAGACTGCAAGAAATAAAGACACAAGACAAAGAGATAAAGAGAAAACGCTGGGCCTGGGGGACCACTACCACCAAGATGCGGAGACCAGTAGTGGCCCCAAATGGCTGGGCACACTGATATTTATTGAATACAAGACAAGGGGGCAGGGTAAGGCGGGTGAGTTGTCCAAGTGATTGATAAGGTCAAGCAAATCACGTGATCATGGGACAAGGGGCCCTTCCCTTTTAGGTAGCCGAAGCAGAGAGGAAAGGCAGCATACGTCAGCATTTTCTTCTATGCACTTATAAGAAAGATCAAAGACTTTAAGATTTTCACTATTTCTTCTACTGCTGTCTACTAAGAACTTCAAGGAGGAACCAGGAGTACAGGAGGAACATAAAAGTGGACAAGGAGCGTGACTACTGAAGCACAGCACCACAGGGAGGGGTTTAGGCCTCCGGATGACTGTGGGCAGGTGTGGATAATATCTAGCCTCCCACAATAAGCTGATGGAGCAGAGAGATACATGACTACCTGCAAGGAAAGGGAGACTCCCTTTCGCGGTCTGCTAAGTAACAGGTGCCTTCCCAGGCACTGGCATTACCGCTTGACTAAGGAGCTGTCAAGCGGCCCTTATGCAGGAGTGACAGAGGGCTCACCTTTTGCCTTCTAGGTCACTTCTCACAAATGTCCCTTCAGCACCGGACCCTATACCTGCCAGTTATTCCTAGGTTATATTAGTAATGCAACAAAGAGTCATATTAAAAGCTAATGATTAATAATGTTTATACTAATGATTGATAATTGTCCATGATCATCTCTATATCTAATTTGTTTTATAACTATTCTTTATTCTAACTATTTTCTTTATTATACTGCAACAGTTTGTGCCTCCAGTCTCTTGCCTCGGCACCTGGGTAATCCTTCGCCTGCAAACAAGCAATTACAAATATCCTTGAAATAAAAGGAAAAATGTTAAATCTATACACAGAAATAAAATATCTCAGCAAATAAATAGACTATTAAAGAAAAAACTAATGGAAATTTAAGAACAAAAAATATAGTAATTAAAATAAACTACTCAATAGATGTGGTTAGAATGAAAGCACAGAGAAAAGAAATAGTGAACTTGAAAATACAATAATAGAAGTTACCCACTGTGAATATCAGAGAGAAAATAGACTGAAAAAAATGAACAAAGTCTCCACTAAGTGTGGAACTATAACAAAATATGTAACATCAGATTTGTGTCATCAAAATCCCAAAAAGATAGAAGAGAATATGACTAAAAAACTTTTGAGAACTAATGGCTAAAATGTTTCTATATTTAGCAAAAGACTCATTAAAATATACAAAACATAATTGTCAGATTCACCAAAGTTGAAATGAAGGAAAAAATGTTAAGGGCAGCCAGAGAGAAAGGTCGGGTTACCCTCAAAGGAAAGCCCATCAGACTAACAGCGGATCTCTCGGCAGAAACCCTACAAGCCAGAAGAGAGTGGGGGCCAATATTCAACATTCTTAAAGAAAAGAATTTTCAACCCAGAATTTCATATCCAGCCAAACTAAGCTTCATAAGTGAAGGAGAAATAAAATACTTTATAGACAAGCAAATGCTGAGAGATTTTGTCACCACCAGGCCTGCCCTAAAAGAGCTCCTGAAGGAAGAGCTAAACATGGAAAGGAACAACCGGTACCAGCCGCTGCAAAATCATGCCAAAATGTAAAGACCATCGAGACTAGGAAGAAACTGCATCAACTAATGAGCAAAATCACCAGCTACCATCATAATGACAGGATCAAATTCACACATAACAATATTAACTTTAAATATAAATGGACTAAATTCTGCAATTAAAAGACACAGACTGGCAAGTTGGATAAAGAGTCAAGACCCATCAGTGTGCTGTATTCAGGAAACCCATCTCACGTGCAGAGACACACATAGGCTCAAAATAAAAGGATGGAGGAAGATCTACCAAGCCAATGGAAAACAAAAAAAGGCAGGGGTTGCAATCCTAGTCTCTGATAAAACAGACTTTAAACCAACAAAGATCAAAAGAGACAAAGAAGACCATTACATAATGGTAAAGGGATCAATTCAACAAGAGGAGCTAACTATCCTAAATATTTATGCACCCAATACAGGAGCACCCAGTTTCATAAGGCAAGTCCTCAGTGACCTACAAAGAGACTTAGACTCCCACACATTAATAATGGGAGACTTTAACACCCCACTGTCAACATTAGACAGATCAACGAGACAGAAAGTCAACAAGGATACCCAGGAATTGAACTCAGCTCTGCACCAAGCAGACCTAATAGACATCTACAGAACTCTCCACCCCAAATCAACAGAATATACATTTTTTTCAGCACCACACCACACCTATTCCAAAATTGACCACATAGTTGGAAATAAAGCTCTCCTCAGCAAATGTAAAAGAACAGAAATTATAACAAACTATCTCTCAGACCACAGTGCAATCAAACTAGAACTCAGGATTAAGAATCTCACTCAAAGCCGCTCAACTACATGGAAACTGAACAACCTGCTCCTGAATGACTACTGGGTACATAACGAAATGAAGGCAGAAATAAAGATGTTCTTTGAAACCAACGAGAACAAAGACACCACATACCAGAATCTCTGGGACGCATTCAAAGCAGTGTGTAGAGGGAAATTTATAGCACTAAATGCCTACAAGAGAAAGCAGGAAAGATCCAAAATTGACACCCTAACATCACAATTAAAAGAACTAGAAAAGCAAGAGCAAACACATTCAAAAGCTAGCAGAAGGCAAGAAATAACTAAAATCAGAGCAGAACTGAAGGAAATAGAGACACAAAAAACCCTTCAAAAAATCAATGAATCCAGGAGCTGGTTTTTTGAAAGGATCAACAAAATTGATAGACCGCTAGCAAGACTAATAAAGAAAAAAAGAGAGAAGAATCAAATAGACACAATAAAAAATGATAAAGGGGATATCACCACCGATCCCACAGAAATACAAACTACCATCAGAGAATACTACAAACACCTCTACGCAAATAAACTAGAAAATCTAGAAGAAATGGATACATTCCTCGACACATACACTCTCCCAAGACTAAACCAGGAAGAAGTTGAATCTCTGAATAGACCAATAACAGACTCTGAAATTGTGGCAATAATCAATAGTTTACCAACCAAAAAGAGTCCAGGACCAGATGGATTCACAGCCGAATTCTACCAGAGGTACAAGGAGGAACTGGTACCATTCCTTCTGAAACTATTCCAATCAACAGAAAAAGAGGGAATCCTCCCTAACTCATTTTATGAGGCCAGCATCATTCTGATACCAAAGCCGGGCAGAGACACAACCAAAAAAGAGAATTTTAGACCAATATCCTTGATGAACATTGATGCAAAAATCCTCAATAAAATACTGGCAAACCAAATCCAGCAGCACATCAAAAAGCTTATCCACCATGATCAAGTGGGCTTCATCCCTGGGATGCAAGGCTGGTTCAATATACGCAAATCAATAAATGTAATCCAGCATATAAACAGAGCCAAAGACAAAAACCACATGATTATCTCAATAGATGCAGAAAAAGCCTTTGACAAAATTCAACAACCCTTCATGCTAAAAACTCTCAATAAATTAGGTATTGAAGGGACGTATTTCAAAATAATAAGAGCTATCTATGACAAACCCACAGCCAATATCATACTGAATGGGCAAAAACTGGAAGCATTCCCTTTGAAAACTGGCACAAGACAGGGATGCCCTCTCTCACCGCTCCTATTCAACATAGTGTTGGAAGTTCTGGCCAGGGCAATCAGGCAGGAGAAGGAAATAAAGGGTATTCAATTAGGAAAAGAGGAAGTCAAATTGTCCCTGTTTGCAGACGACATGATTGTTTATCCAGAAAACCCCATCGTCTCAGCCCAAAATCTCCTTAAGCTGATAAGCAACTTCAGCAAAGTCTCAGGATACAAAATCAATGTACAAAAATCACAAGCATTCTTATACACCAACAACAGACAAACAGAGAGCCAAATCATGAGTGAACTCCCATTCACAATTGCTTCAAAGAGAATAAAATACCTAGGAATCCAACTTACAAGGGATGTGAAGGACCTCTTCAAGGAGAACTACAAACCACTGCTCAAGGAAATAAAAGAGGACACAAACAAATGGAAGAACATTCCATGCTCATGGGTAGGAAGAATCAATATCATGAAAATGGCCATACTGCCCAAGGTAATTTACAGATTCAATGCCATCCCCATCAAGCTACCAATGACTTTCTTCACAGAATTGGAAAAAACTACTTTAAAGTTCATATGGAACCAAAAAAGAGCCCGCATCGCCAAGTCAATCCTAAGCCAAAAGAACAAAGCTGGAGGCATCACACTACCTGACTTCAAACTATACTACAAGGCTACAGTAACCAAAACAGCATGGTACTGGTACCAAAACAGAGATATAGATCAATGGAACAGAACAGAGCCCTCAGAAATAATGCCACATATCTACAACTATCTGATCTTTGACAAACCTGAGAAAAACAAGCAATGGGGAAAGGATTCCCTATTTAATAAATGGTGCTGGGAAAACTGGCTAGCCATATGTAGAAAGCTGAAACTGGATCCCTTCCTTACACCTTATACAAAAATCAATTCAAGATGGATTAAAGATTTAAACGTTAGACCTAAAACCATAAAAACCCTAGAAGAAAACCTAGGCATTACCATTCAGGACATAGGCGTGGGCAAGGACTTCATGTCCAAAACACCAAAAGCAATGGCAACAAAAGCCAAAATCGACAAATGGGATCTAATTAAACTAAAGAGCTTCTGCACAGCAAAAGAAACTACCATCAGAGTGAACAGGCAACCTACAACATGGGAGAAAATTTTCGCAACCTACTCATCTGACAAAGGGCTAATATCCAGAATCTACAATGAACTCAAACAAATTTACAAGAAAAAAACAAACAACCCCATCAAAAAGTGGGCGAAGGACATGAACAGACACTTCTCAAAAGAAGACATTTATGCAGCCAAAAAACACATGAAGAAATGCTCATCATCACTGGCCATCAGAGAAATGCAAATCAAAACCACTATGAGATATCATCTCACACCAGTTAGAATGGCAATCATTAAAAAGTCAGGAAACAACAGGTGCTGGAGAGGATGTGGAGAAATAGGAACACTTTTACACTGTTGGTGGGACTGTAAACTAGTTCAACCATTGTGGAAGTCAGTGTGGCGATTCCTCAGGGATCTAGAACTAGAAATATCATTTGACCCAGCCATCCCATTACTGGGTATATACCCAAAGGACTATAAATCATGCTGCTATAAAGACACATGCACACGTATGTTTATTGCAGCACTATTCACAATAGCAAAGACTTGGAACCAAGCCAAATGTCCAACAATGATAGACTGGATTAAGAAAATGTGGCACATATACACCATGGAATACTATGCAGCCATAAAAAATGATGAGTTCATGTCCTTTGTAGGGACATGGATGAAATTGGAAACCATCATTCTCAGTAAACTATCGCAAGAACAAAAAACCAAACACCGCATATTCTCACTCATAGGTGGGAATTGAACAATGAGATCACATGGACACAGGAAGGGGAATATCACACTCTGGGGACTGTGGTGGGGTCGGGGGAGGGGGGAGGGATAGCATTGGGAGATATACCTAATGCTAGATGACACGTTAGTGGGTGCAGCGCACCAGCATGGCACATGTATACATATGTAACTAACCTGCACAATGTGCACATGTACCCTAAAACTTAGAGTATAATAAAAAAAAAAAATTTAAAAAAAAAAATATATATATACAAAACGATGAGTGGACCACATATAAGATAAATTCAAGAAATCCACAGCAAGACACCTCATAATCTTCTGAAAACTAAGGGGAATTAAAAAATGTTGAGAGAAGGAGGAAATTAGACCTCAATATTTATGTTTGAATGACAGCAAATTTCTCATTGGAAACCAGGAAGGCCAGAAGGAAGGGACACAACAGTTTTCGAGTACCAATAGAAAAAATCTGCCAACCCAGAATTCTATATCCACGAAAATGTTTTGCAAAAACAAAGAGAGAATCAAGAAATTCTCAAAAAAAAAAAGGAATTTGTCATCAGCATACCTACATTAAAAAGATGGTTGACCAAAGTTCTCTGAAGATAAAGGAAAATAAAATGAAACAAATTTTGGAACACCAAGAAAGAAAAAAAAAAAACTATTTGTGAATTTCAACCATAGGGGAAATTTGGAGAGATACACAAATCCAGAGAGTAATAGCTAAGGTCAGCTTACCTGAAGCAGAAGCCACTGGAACCCTAAACTAGTAAGAACACCAAAATTGTAATATTGACCAATTTCTGGGGACTGATTTTGGACTTAGCATGAAAATGAAAAGCTCCAAATGCTGCAGTTTTAGGGTACACCTACATACCTTTGTGAATTTTGAATCCAGGAACCCCAATAAATTTAACAGTGAAGAGCCAAGAAAGACTCCCCAGTTGGCTCTGACAAAGAGATAGAATAAAGTAACTACTATTAAATATACCCAGAACATTATCCACAACATTGTCAAAACTGTTTCCCATCAGGGAAAAGGGCATTTCCCTAACTTCAGCCTGTTCAAGCCTTCCTATCTCACCTAGCAGATGTAGGAGCAGCATTTTTTTATAGTAACAACCCAAGGACACAGACTCACTGAAACATGAAGATTTAATTATAACATTACAGCATGTTTCCCTTCTCAACATTTTACCACACCAATAATAGGGTTTCAGTATAAAAAACAGAATATCACAGCTGCCAGACACCTATTCTTCATGGTGAGAAGTACTGAGAGAAGCCCAAAGAAGATAAGGGCAATTTTTTAAAAAAGATACTAGAGGAATTAGAAGCTGCTGACAACTACAGCTGAAGCAAACATTAAACACATCCCAACTTCTAGCGGATTAACATAAAACTTTACATTAAAAGCCTTCGTACCTCAGTTCTGATTGCCCAAGAAAATTCTTTTGAAGAAAAAATTATGAAACAGACTAAGAGGTAAGAAAAAAACAGACAGCCTAATTAAAAATGTAAGTGTCAAAAAAATTCAAATGTAATACAGATTTTAGAGTTATCAGACAGGGAATTAAAAATAGCTATGGTTATATTTTAAAGGTTTTAATGGAAAAAGCAGATAAAATTTAAATATAGATGAGTAACATATACAGAGAGACAAAAACTCTAAGGTAGATACAATTCAACTTTATCAATAACTTTGAATATGAATGATCTAAATATATCAATTGAAACATGGAATTTGTCAGAGAATTTATTTTTTTTTAAAAAAAAGACAGGACCCAACAATTTGTGGCCTACAAAAACACCCATTTTAAATATAAGAATTCAGTTTTATGCCAAAAATGGCAAATAGGAGTCAGGGCTAATTTGCAGCTCCCACTTGGATGGACAGAGCAGCATGTGGAGATCCATATCATGAACTATTGCTCCAAGAACTACCACAGGGATGTATCAGGAAAGCTGAGAGAATCCACAGACCCTTTGAAGGAGGTAGACTGCCACCGCAGGCTCCGCAGGACAGTGAGACTCACATAACTGTGAGTCTGCTTGCTTTCTCAGCCAGGAGGCTTGTAGTCTGGGGCAAGTTCCCAGCCCAGCTCATTGGCTACCTGGAAATAAACTTGGTGCTGTTGAGGGGGCACAGTCGGGATGAGACCAGCCTTTTGGGCTGCAGGCTCCGTGGGAGCTAGGTGAGGGCTGTGGCTGCTTGCTTTCCCCCAACTTCCCTACCTGTGTGATGCAACAGAAATAGCCGTAATCCCCCTGGGAACATAACTCCATTGGTCTGGAACCACACCCTCATGCCTCACAGCAGCCACAGCAAGCCCCTTCCAAGGAATTTGAGCTCAGACATGCCTAACCCTGCCCCTAACTGATGGCCTTTCTCTACCAGCCCAGATAGCCAAAGACAAAGGACATAAACTCTTGGAAGATCTGTGGGCCCACCCACCACCAGATTCTCCCTATAAGACCACACCTGATGCACTCTTGAAAGTGCATCCTGGTTGGAGGCCAATGAACACAAAACCAGTACACTTAACAAAAATACAACCAAGACCCTCACAGAGTCAGTCTACTCCACTCTCCTGCTACCTGCACTGGAATAGGTGCTGGTATCCACTGCAGAGAGACCTAAAGATGGATCACATCACAGGACCCTTTGCAGACACTCCCCTGTACCAGCCCACAGCCTGGTAGCTCTGCTGGGTGGCCACATCCAGAGGGAAATTATCACAGGAAGCCCCATCCCAAAGGGAAAGGGGAGAGCATCACATCAAGGGAGCAGCCCTGCGGAAAAAAGAATCTGAACAGCAGCCCATGAGTCCCAGATCTTCCTTCTGACATAGTCCACCCAATTGAGAAGGAACCAGAAAAACAATTGTGGTAATAGGACAAAACGATGTTTTTTACCACCTGTAAAAATCACACTACCTCACCAGCAATGGATCCAAACCAATACAAAATCTCTGAATTGCCAGAAAAACAATTTGGAAGGTCGATTATTAAGCCATTCAAGGACGCACTAGAAAAAGTTGAAACCCAGCTTAAAGAAATTAAAAACATGATACAGGATATGAGTAGAAAAATCTCCAGTAAAATAGATAGAATAAATAAAAAGCAATCACAATGTCTGGAAATCAAGGACACACTTAGAGAAATGGAAAATGCACTGGAAAATCTCAGCAATAGAACTGAACAAGTAGAAGAAAGAACTTCAGAGCTCAAAGACAAGGCACTCAAATTAACCTCATCCAACAAAGACAAAGCAAAAATCATTTTAAACAATGAAAAAAGCCTCCAAGAAGTTTGGGATTATGTTAAATGGCCAAACCTAAGAATAATTAGTGATCCTGAGTAAGAAGAGAAATCTAAAAGTTTGGAAAACATATTTAAGGGAATAATTGAAGAAAACTTCCCCAGTCTTGTTAGAGATCTGGATATTCAAAAACAAGAAACTCAACCAACACCTGGGAGTCATCAGGTTATCTAAAGTCAAGATGAAGGAAAGAATCTTAAGATGCTTTTGCACATCTGGTAACCTATAAATGAAAACCTATCAGATTAACAGCAGATTTCTCAGCAGAAACCATACAATCCAGAAGGAATTGGGGTCCTACCTTCAGCCTTCTGAAACAAAATAATTATCAGCAAAGAATTTTGTATCCAGCGAAATTAAGCAATGTAAATGAAGAAAAAATATAGTTTTTTTCAGATGAACAAATGCTGAGAGAATTCATCACTACCAAGCCAGCACTACAAGAACTGCTAAAAGGAGCTCTAAATCTTGAAACTAATCTTTGAAATACACCAAAAAAGAATCTCCTTAACATATAAATCTCACAGGATCTATAAAACAACAGCACAATAGAAAAGTATGCAGGCAACAAATAGCATGATAAATAGAATAGTACCTCATATCTCAATACTAACACTGACTGTAAATGGCCTAAATACTCCACTAAAAAGATACAGAATGGCAGGATGGATAAGAACTCACCAACCAAGTATCTGTTGTCTTTAGGAGACTCACTGGACACATAAGGACTCACACAAACTTAAGGTAAAGGGGTGGAAAAAGATATTTCATGCAAATGGACACCAAAAGCAAGCAGGAGTAGCTATTCTTATATCAGAAAAAATAAACTTTAAAGCAACAGCAGTTTAAAAAGACAAAGAGGAGCATCATATCATGATGAAAGGAGGAGTCCAACAGGAAGCTATCACAATCCTAAATATATATGCACCTAACATTGGAGCTGCTAAATTTATAAAACAATTACTATTAGACCTAAGAAATGAGATAGCAACACAATAATAGTGGGGAACTTCTATACTTCACTGACAGCACTAGACAGGTCATAAAGACAGAAAGACCTATAGCCTTGAACAAATGTATGTAACAGGTATTTACAGAAGATTCTACCCAACAACTGTAGAATATACATTCTATTCATCAGCACATGGAATATTCTCCAAGACAGACCATATGATCGGCCACAAGATATGTCTCAACAAATTTAAGAAAATCAAAATTATATCAAGCACTCTTTCAGACCACTGTGGAATAAAATTGGAAATTAACTTCAAAAGGAACCCTCAAAACCATGCAAATTCATGGAAATTAAATAACCTACCCCCGAATGATCATTGGGTCAACAATGAAATCAAGATGGAAATTTAAAAATTCTTTGAACTGAATGATCTTAGTGACACAATCTATCAAAACCTCTGAGATACAGCAAAGGCGGTGCTGAGAGGAAAGTTTATAGCACTAAATGGCTACATCAAAAAGTCTGAAACAGCACAAATAGACAATCTAAGGTCACACCTCAAGGAGCTAGAGAAACAAGAACAAACAAACCCAAACCCAGCAGAAGAAAAGAAATAACCAAGATCAGAGCAGAACTAAATGAAATTGAAACAAAAAGAATACAAAAGATAAGTGAAACCAAAAGCTAGTTCTACGAAAAGATAAATACAATTGATAGACCATTAGCGAGATTAACCAAGAAGAGAGAAGATCCAAATAAGCTCAATTATAAATGAGACAAGAAATCTTACAGCCAATACCACAGAAATACAAAAGATTATTCAAGACTACCATGAACACCTTTATGCCCATAAACTAGAAAACTTAGACAAGATGGATAAATTCCTGGAAATATACAACCCTCCTAAATTAAACCAGGAAGAAATTAAAAACTCTGAACAGACCAATAACAAACAGTGAGATTAAAATGGTAATTAAAAAGTTACCAACAACAACAAAAAATCTGGGACCAGCTGGATTGACAGCTGAATTCTATCATTCAAAAAAGAATTGGCACCAATCCTATTGATACTATTCCAAGAGATAAAGAAAGATGGAATCCTCCCTAAGTCACTCTATGAAGCCAGTATCACCTTAACAGCAAAACCGGGAAAGGACATAACAACAAAAGAAAACTACACATCAATATCCCTGATGAACATAGATGCAAAAATCCTCAAAAAAATCATGCTGCACATGCGTGTTTACAGCAGCACAATTCACACTTGCAAAAATATGGAGCAAGCCCAAATGCCCATGAATCAACAACTAGATAAGGAAAATGTCATAGATGGGTAGATAGATAGATAGATAGATAGATAGATAGATAGATAGACAGATAGACTCAACCATAAAAGGAAACAAAATAATGGCATTTGCAGCAACCTGTATGGAATTGGAGACCATTATTCTAACCGAAGTAACTCAGGAACAGAAAACCAAACATTGTACATTCTCCCTCTCAAGTGGAATCTAGGCTATGAGGATGCAAGGGCAGAATACTGATACAATGGACTTTGAGGACTCAGAGGAAAGGGTGGGAGGGGGGTGAGAAATAAAAGACTACACATTGAGTACAGTGACACTGTTTGGGTGATGGGTGCGCCAAAATCTCAGAAATCACCACTAAAGAACTTATCTATGTAACCAAACACCACCTGTTGCCCAAAAACCTATTGAAATAAAAAATAAAAATTAAAAATACATATATATATATATATATGAATTCAGATTAAAGGTAAGGGGATAGAAGGAGATAGACCTAATCAAAAAAAGCTAAAGTTATATTAACACTAATTTTAGAACTAGCATTTTAACATTAATTTAAACAATCTGAAGTTATGTTAATTTCAAACAAAGTAGAACAGGAAAAAATGTCAGAAGTTAAATGGGACATCATATTATAATAAAGGGGTCAATTCTGCAGGAAGATATAACAATTCTTACTGTGTATATACATTGTTAAATGTATCATAGTGTCAAAAAACATGAGGCAAAAACTGGTAAGACTGTAAAGATAGACAAACAACTATTATATTTGGAAATTTCAGTATCCCTCTGTCAGAAAATGATTGATCAATTGGACATCTACAGACTAAATAACAAATAAACCTATGCATAGTTCTTACACACTTTCATACACACACACACACACCTTCCATAAGATAACATAGGAAAATGTTTAGGTGACTTTGTTGGTTTGGAGATAACTTTTGAGATAAACCATGGAAAGCATAATTCAGGAAAAAATAGTAAGCTGTACTCTATTAAAATTAAAAACTTCAATTCTGCAAAAGTCACTGTTAAGAAAATGAAGAGACAGGCCACATACTGAAAGAAAATACTTGCAAAATGTATCTGATAAAAGACTTTATCCAAAATATACAGTAGTTTTTCTTATCTGTGGTTTTTCCTTCCATGGTTTTCCTACCCACAGTCAACCACAGTCCAAAAACAATAAATAAAAAATTTTAGAAATAATTCAGAAGTTTTAAATTGCATACCATTCTGAATAGTATGATAAAATCTCATGTTTTTCCTGTTTTATCCCACCTGGGATATGAATCATTCCCTTGTCGAGCATATCCACCATGTATACACACCCACCTGTTAGTTACTGGCATCATCTGCTCTGTTGGATGTCAGACACTGACATCCAACCATTGACATTGTCATGGCTTGGTGATCTAAGATCACCCAAACAAATCATCCTCCTTCTGACGTATTGTCAAAAGGCCAATAGTAGCCCAATGCTACATCACAATGTCTGCTTAATTTACCTCACCTCATCTCATCACATAGGCATTTTATCATCTCACAACATCACAAGTAGAAGAAGGATGCATACAGTACAATAAGCTATATTGAGTGAAAGAGTGAGAGAAAGACCATATTCACATAACTTATTACAGGAAATTTTTATAATTGTTCTATTTTATTATTAGTTATTGTTGTTAATATTTTGCTGTGCCCAATCTATAAGTCAAATTTTAGCATAGGTATCGATGTATAGGAAAAAAATAGTATGTTATATGCAGTTTCAGGCATCCCCTGGGGACCTTGGAATGTATCTCCTGCAGATAAGGGGGAACTACTTTACAAGGAATCCTTATAACTCACCAATGAGAAAACAAGTAACCTAATTAAAAAATGGGCAAATGTTTTAATAAAAATCTCACTATAAAAGATATACGGAGGACAAATAAGCCTATGAAAAGATGTGTCACATTATTTGACATTAGAGAATTGCAAATTAAATGGCAATGAGATCTCAGTACAAAACGTTTAGAACAACCAAAATCCAAAATTTCATGGTACCAAATGCTGTCAAGGATTCCAATCAACAAGAGCTCTTATGCTTTGCTGGTGGGAATCCAAATGGTACAATAATTTGGAAGACAGTTTGGCACTTTCTTGCAAACCTAAACATTGCCTTCATATACAATCCAGATACTGGGCTTCTGGGTAGTCAGTCAGCTGATTTAAAAACTTATGTCCACACAAAAACCTGAATCTGAATGTTGATAGTAGTTTTGTTCAAATGACCGAAAACTGGAAGCAACTGAGATATCCTTCAGCAGATAAATGGATAAAGAAACTGAGATACATACATATAATGCAACATTATTGTGCAATAAATAGAAATGAGCTATCAAGTCATAATGAGCTATCCAACTCTATTTTATAAATGAACTTTATGTATTGCTATGTGATAAAAAGCCAGCCTGAAATGCTACATCTGGATGATTCCAATTATAAGACATTCTGAAAAAAGCATAACTATAGCAATGCTAAACAATCAGTGGCTTCCAAGAGTTAAGATGGAGGTATGGAAGGTTGAAGAGCTGAAACATAGTATGTATTAATATTTTTAGATAACACTGTTCTGTACATATTATAATTCTGCATACACGACACAATTCATTTGCCAAAATGTATATAACTTTACAAGTCTGAGTAGAAGTTATTGAGGGGGAAAAAATGACTTCCCTCCACTCTCCTAGTTTATTTGGCTTTGTCAGTTAAATTGACATAAAACAGATTAACAACAGAAATACTGTTTTAATTATGTACATTGATGTGGTTTGACTGTGTCCCCACCCAAATCTCCTCTTGAGTTCCCACATGTTGTGGGAGGGACCCAGTGGGTGATAACGGAATCATGGGGGCAAGTCTTTCCCGTATTATTCTTGTGATAGTGAATAAGCCTCACAAGATCTGATGGTTTTATAAAAGGGAGTTTGCTTGCACAAGCTCTCATTTTTTTTGCCTGCCATCATCCACCCTGGAGATGGAGACCCCATGATCCAAAAAGTTTATTCCCAGAGATAGACTAAGAAGTCAAAGACCTTTGTTGTCACAGTTGATAAGGAAAATGTTTGTGAGAATGATGGATTTTGTCTTCCACAGGCATGTGGGGTGCCTCCAGTCACTGGCCCGCTAATCTGCGACACTAGGCAGGCAGTTCTGGGACTGGAGTTTCCCATCACTGACCAAGCAATCAAAAGTTGAGATGACTAAGGGTCTTATGGAATAGTTCCTCTTATTATGACAAATTCCCCTGAGAGTAAGCACATTCAGACGAAATAATGCTACCTGTCACTTTGTGTCTTAGGCTCCAGCCTATTTCAATGGCTGTATGTAAATTTACAAAACTATTTGGGAGGTGAGTGGATTTCAGGATAGAATGCAGATTGTGGCAATCTAATGTCACTATAAATGTATGAAACAACTTCACTGAAGCAGGAGGGAAAAGATGCTGACCTAAGTAACATTGGAAATAAGTGGAATCTCTAATATCAAAGGCAATAGAAACTGTACATAAGCACCAGTTAACAATTTTTATCCCATGATGGTACTGGTGAGCAGCTTGGATACTTCTATACACAAATTGGAATTGAATGATTAAGGGAATGGATGGTAGATGATGAGAGAACCAGGCTACTTGCCATTGGAGTGGGAGTATGCAAATAAGCAGGGGGAGGTGGCAGAAATGGACTAATAGCATTGAGGACATCAGTGTAAACTTATAGTTAGTTTAATATACTACAGATAGTCACATATATAAATTTTAGCTATATATGTATACACACAGGTTGGTATACCATGGATTTTCCTTGCTCCATCAGCTGAGAGAACCAGAAGCAAGGATACTGCTGTACTAATGAGCATACCAAGTACCCAGATCTTATTTACTAATACCATTTTGCAGCAGTAGACACCAAGGCCTCTCAGAGAAATGACAGATCTCTTTATTTATGGGAAATACACAAGATCAGCCTGAAACATCTCATATTTCTAGAAAGTAAAGTTCTTACCTCACCCACAGAACAAACCTACGGTGATGAGGGCACGTCCAAGGGACACAGATGCCAACTGAAAGAGCGTACAATGGTCAAAACCGAAGGAATTTGACCACGAAATAAATAAAGCAGCATTGGATTATAACCCAAAGTATAAAATAAATATCCATGAGTTCATACTAATATAAATAAAGGATTAAATAAATAAACAAATGTAGGGGAGAAGAAAAATCTCTTATGCAGAAGAAACAAACATTATTTATGTAGATGCCTACCAAACTGTTAAAACATTACTCCCCACTCCCTAAGTGTGGGGTGTGTAGAGTGAAATTTCAAAAGAGTACAGTGTGGAAAAGAGAGAGAGAAAAAAAAGAGTAACTTTAAATCCACTTTGTTTGTGAACTCCCTAGTGAGTAAACGGTCTTTTCTCTCCCTAAAAATTTTTTTAAAAAGTAACTTCAGAGCAATGAAATCTAACAAAACCTACCTCAGCCAGGTAATACGGGTCAATATCAAGAGTTACAGTTAATGCTAATCATGTTAATAGTATGTATCTGTTATTTAATAATGAACTTGTCTGATCTTTATCTATGGTTCCTGAGAGACAATCTTCCAAACCTTTGGAATTTCCTGAGTTAAAGGAATATCTTTGCTATTCATTCTAGGCTCTGGGAGCCACATCTGAATATATACTAATCAAGTGACTCATGGTGGGACCTAGATAGCTTTCATATGGAGGCCTGGTTGTTTCAGAAAGTCAAACAATGTGATAGGGCTTTAAGCCACAAGATATCAGCTCAACCTCTGGGGAGTGGAGGAAAATTGGAGACTGAATTCAATCACATTCCATCTATCATGCCAAGATAAGGAAACTCAATGAAAACTCTGCACGCCGAAGCTGTGGGGAGCTTCCCTCTTTGGTGATACACATTAGTGTGCACAGAGGATGCCTTGTCCTAAGGACACGGGAGTTTCACATTTGGAACCTTCACAAAGGCCTTTCTATATGTCTTTCCATTGGTCCTGATTTGATACCTTTATAATAAAACTGTAATAGTAAATATAGCATTTCTAGTGAATTATTGAATTTGAGGGGTTAATAAGAACCCCAAGTTTGTAGCCAGATGATCAGAAGTGAGGGTGGCTTGGAGATTCCCAAGTTTTAGGATGGTGTTTGAAGTGGGTGGTGTTTATCGAGGATTGTACCCTTAACCTATGAAGTTTAACTAATTATTGTATACCCTTAATATGATGGAAGGAAAATGGCACATTACTTCTTTGATTTTTCTTCCAAAACCAATATCCCCAATTTAACTGTGAGAAAAATGAAATAAATCCAAATAGGGAAATATTCCACCAAAGACCTGGCCAATTCTTCTCAAAATTGTCGAGGTCATAAAAAACAAGTCTGAGCCAAGAGAAGCTAAGGAGACATGCCAACTAAATGCAATGTGACATCCTGGACGAGATCCTGGGACAGGGAAAAAATATTGGTTAAAAACTGAGAAAATCTAGGCCGGCCTGGTGGCTCGCGCCTGTAATCCCAGCACTTTGGGAGGCCAAGGCGGGCAGATCACGAGGTCAGGAGATCGAGACCATCCTGGCTAACATGATGAAACCCCGTCTCTACTAAAATTACAAAAAATTAGCCGGGCGTGGTGGCAAGTGCCCGTAGTCCCAGCTACTCGGGAGGCTGAGGCAGAAGAATGGTGTGAACCCGGGAGGTGGAGCTGGCAGTGAGCCGAGATCGCGCCACTGCACTCCAGCCTGGACGACAGAGTGAGACTCCGTTTCAAAAAAACAAACAAACAAACAAAAACCATATATTTCAAGAATAAAAAAGCAAACAGTCATCTTAGAAAATGTGTAAAATGTATGAACAAGCATTTCACAGAGGATAAATGTAAATAAGTATATTAAAATATATTTAAAGTGAGTAGCCATTATGGAAATGTAAATGCAAATGAAGACCACAGTGACATGTCACTATCCATCTATTATAATGGCTAAATTCAAAAATATCAACAATGCCAAATGGCAGCAAGGATGCATAGAAATTAGATCTCTGATTTTTTCATAGGAATGTGAAGCAGAGAAGCCACCCTAGAAAATAGTTTGGCATATTCTTACAAAACTAAACATGTGCTTGCTAAAACACCCAATAAATATTCTACCAGGTGTTTAACTTAGAGAAATAAAGATGGGTGTTCACATAAATAGCTCAACATGTTTATTAATTGCTGATTTATTTGTAATAGCCGAAACTGGAACAAGCAAAATGTTTTATAATAGGTGAATGATTAAACAAACTGGAGCACACACATACTACTCAAAAAGACTCAGATATTAAAAAAAGAACTATTTATACATGCAATAATTTTTATGGCTCTCAAGGGAATTATGCTGAATGAAAAAAAAGGGGACAATCTCAAAAGTCCCCATGGCATGTGATTCCATTTATATAACATTCTGAAAATGCAAAAGTATAGGTATGGGAGATGGCTGGTTGCCATGGGTGAGGGATGGTTGTGGGGAGGGAGTGGTGGGATTCTAAAAGGGTAGCAGGAAGGGTCTTTGTGGTGTTGTAACAGTTCTATCTCAGTGGTGACGGTGGTTACATGCATCTGCACATGTGATAAAACGATATAGAACTACACACACATAATGTACCGACGGCATGTGGGATCTCTTTGTACTATCTTTTCAAACTCCTGTGAATCTATAATTATTGCAAAATGAAAAGTTCAAAAACTGAGAGGCAATGAATGAAACTAACAATTCTAAAGACTATAATCCACAATGAAAATGTAAGTTATTGAGATCTATTCACCTAATAAAACAGCAACAGTAGAAATTGCAGGTTATGCAAGCAAAAAGATACTAATAACAGGAGATTTCAACACAGTTCTCTCAGTCCTAAAAAAATAAAATGAATTAAAGAGACCTTATAAAATTAATATATAGATCTAACCAATCAATATTTATTAAAATCCATTATCAGATAACAGATAATTTTTCTAGTTTATATGTAACATTTTCAAAATTTAGCACTCCTTAATAATAATAATTTTTTTTTTTTTTGAGATGGAGTCTCACTCTGTTGCTCAGGCTGGAATGCAGTGGCGCGATCTCGGCTCACTGCAACCTCCGTCTCTGGGATCAAGCATTTCTCCTGCCTCAGCCTCCCAAGTGGCTGGGACTACGGGCGCACACCATCACATCCGGCTAATTTTTTGTATTTTTAGTAGAGATGGGGTTTCACCTTGTTGCCCAGGCTGGTCGTGAACTCCTGAGCTCAGGCAATCCTCCTGCCTAGGCCTCCCAAAGTGCTGGGATTACAGGCATGAGCCACCGCACCCAGCCAATAATATTTTTTAAAAGGAAAAGACAATGAAATAATACAGTTAGCATGTTCTGACCACATGAAATAAAACTTGTGCAGCAGATGCTGTGAGTACATTCACCCTTACCCCTGGTTTCCACAGAAAGTTACCAGCAGACACGTGTGCTCAGACTGATCTGACTCTGGGTTTTGACATTTCTCTCTGCGTGAAGCCTCCAGCGAATAAGGGAGCTCCCTCTGTCAGCTGTGAGAACAGTCTGTGGTGCCTCAGGAGGAAACTTCAACCAATGAGGAGTAAAAAGAAGTGAATGAATGTCGCAACTTCCTCAACTCCACAGTGGGTGGGAATGAAGGGGCCCTTCTGAGATGCATTTTCCAGAGTTTCTCGGAGGGTACCCAGTGGAACTGAGCCTCTGTTGCTTGGAGCAATAACACACTCATTATCCCTGCACCACATCCACAGTCTCTCACTGTATCTCCTTGGGATCGTCTTCCAAATATATGCATTGCACCCAAATCCCTTTGCTCAGGGTCTGCTTTAGAGGGAACACAAACTAAGACAACTAGAAATCAATAACATACATATATGTATATACACACAAGCATACACTGGCTGAAGCACAAAGGTCCCTTTACTTGGACAATAAGAACTTTTTATTTAAAAACTCTTGGGTTAAAGAGGAAATACAATGAATAGAATGAAACTGCAGCATTGCTAGAAAATAAGCATATTATCAACAAGGCAAATCATAACGTACATGACACAGACACAGCAGTATTCAGAGGAAAATACATTGCATTCATTGCCTGTATTAATAAAAACTAAAACTGAAACATGTGAGTTAAATGTTCAATCCAAAATCTAAAAAGTAATAACTTAAAGAAAAAAATCAGAAGTCAATGACCGTAGAACAATTTAAAAATACAAAATATGTGGGTTTGCAAAATTACTTAGCAAAATTAAATAACATCTAGCTGCATTTTTGTAAAAGATAGAACACATATTTCTAAGTTTAGAAATGTTGGGGAGAAAGGGCCTTTGAGTACATTTTGTGCAATTCTATAAAAATAGAAGAGACTGATTCCTACAGTGAAGAAATAACAAAGGAATAAGTTTGAAGGAACTCTTATGTGTGTAAAATGAAATAATTTGAGCAATAAAAAGAATAATAACTGTAAATTATTAAAATATATTGAATATATAAAAATCCATGAATCCATAATGATACAAAAGAAAGTGGGCATAACCTACTGGACACCATTGGTAGCCATCAGGACTCACAATACCCATAAATAGTGAGAAAAGATTAAGCATCTTTCCACCTTTTCTGATGTAAACTATATTTCAGGATGAGGAAAGGCTTTTCTATGGAGAATTCCACCTAAACAATACACAAGGAAATAACAAATTAGGAAATCATGATTCGTCAGCCTCAAATGAAATAACTGAGTCAGTTAATGATCTTAGCATTGAAAAAATAAGTTCCAGGCAACCGGAAATGGGAGAAAATGAAAAAGTAAATGACATCATGAGAAAGAGATTAACCACTTTAGAATGTGGGACCTTTTACTGAACAACTGATCCGGATTCTTTAAGAAGTTAATGCCAAGACAGGGAGGGAAGGAGGAAGGGACTATGAGTTGAGAACACCAATTGTAAAAAGCCATTTTGGAGAGTCTCAGGGAAACATGAGTATAGACTGGATATTCAGTGACGTTCAGAAATTATATTAGATTTATAAGGTATGGTAGTTGTTCCATGGTTAAAAAAAAAAATCCTTAGTGTTTTTGTAAACGCATGTTGAAGGTCATGCAGACAAAACTGAATGATCCTCCAGTTATGAAAGGTGGGAGTTTAATCTATAAAAAATATGGCAAGTTATTGATGGTTTTAAAGATGAGTGGTGGGCATATAGATTTATAATATCACTGCTTTGTGAAATTTGTTATCATAAAAAGCTTTTTAAAAATCCTCTTAAAAAATGCTTAGAATATCCTGTGATCTACCTCCCTCCACACTCCACCTCTCCACCTACTCTATGTGAGAAAACATAATCAAGACAGAGAAAGCCACTTTGGAAGTTTGCTCCAAAAGTCACTGAAAGAGCTGAGATTATAACCTGGATCTTCTGGAGTGTCTTCCTCCACAGTGAGCCGATTCCATAATAGACATCAGGCCAATCACTAGGAGCTGATATTTTATTTTAAGAGCAAGAATGCAAATATAGGGGATGGGTTTTAGATCTTACCATCATTAAATACCCACCCAGAAACCCAGCTTCACATCATGGAAGAGTCAAAGTGCTAAGTGCCTGCCTACAAATTTTGAGACTATTCACACTCATCATTGACTTTCCTCACAGAAATATGATGTACTATTGTGCCATTTTCCACTTTATAAAGATGCAAGAACTGATACAAAAGAGTTCAATGATCTTTCCCAAAGCCCAAAGCTAATGAATTGGTGAGACAGAAGTCCCAGCCCAAGTCACCTGGCCCTGACACTGGCTCTCTGTGCTCTGATGAGGCAGAGAGTGAGAGAGTATGATTTCTAGGACTGATGTACATGCTCATGGCTACCATTTGTCAGTGATGGTGCATAGGTCTGTGCACCAGATGAATCATTCTAAGGACACACCTCATGGGTGCGGCTCCCCCAGACCAGGCTTTTACTTCAACATGGACAATCACTGGGGCATGAGAGAACTAAGACTGATGCTAGCTTAATACCAACACAACCACTCTCATGCCTGGGATAGAAGAACACCTGTACAACAAACGTTGGTGTTTACAGATAGGTAATGAAATGCATTCCAGGAACAGAATGTAAGCGTTTTGTTAAGACCCTGCCCCTGCTTAGTGATGGGAAACTAAGGCCTTAGTGAAGGGAATTTGGCCAAAGTGATGTATGAAATTAGTGCAGATGAGGTAGTGTGTATTGTTAGAGTCACAGTTCCCGGCATGCCAGCAATTCATTTGAGGATGACAGTAGGCATGTGAGAAACTGGGGGTCCCAGGAGAGTTTGGTGGAATATACTGCAGTGTTCCAAAAGCCCGCATCAGCAAACCAGGGCAAGGTCAGCTGGAATCTGAGTAATCACCATGGCTGAGCTCACAAACTGGAGAGGTGGGAGTCCCGCATATCACTCACTACAAACAGAGGAGAGCACACATTTCCTCCAGGAGGCTCCACCATGGAGGTCCCATGAAGCAAAAGTGTTACCAGTGAAGGATCCTGACTTGAGTCATTCAGGTTCTTGGCATTTTGAACAAATAATTGGACAAAATGCACAAAGCAAGCAAGAAACGAATGAAGCAACAAAAGCAGAGATTTATTGAAAGGAAAGTACACTCCGTAGAGACGGAGCTTGAGCAAGTGGCTCAAGAGTCCTTGTTACAGAATTTTCTGGTGTTTAAATACCTTCTAGAGGTTCTCCATTGGTTACTTGGTTTACACCCTATGTAAATGAAGTAGTGGCCCGCAACCAGTCTGATTCGTTGCAGAAAGCAACAAATCAGAGGCTGAAGTGAAGTTATGAAGTTACACCCTATGCAAACATCTGATAGGTTGTGGGAGGGGATTAATCAGAGGCTGAAGTTACGAAGTTATACTCCTACGCAAATAAAGACTAGGCCCGAGACCGGTCTGATTGATTGCGGGAGGGGACTAATTAGAGGTACTTTCAATTTTTCATCGGCCACACAGAAAAGTGAGGGATAGGAAGGTAGTAAAGGGCATAGTCTCTGGTCCTTTTGTTACTTGGGCATGAAAAGTTGGGATTTTCCTTTTGATTTACTTCTAGGAAGTCAGTATAAATTGGCCTTAGGTTCCCTGCCTCCAGACCCTGTTCTCCTGCCTCAGTAGGGCCCATTGCTGCATTCTGGTCCCACTTTCTCATTCCTCTGTGAGAACGGAGGCTGTCGCTGTTCTCAAAAGAGGAGAAAGAAAAGAAGCCAATGTCAGGCGTCATGCAGGGACAGAGAGCTTTATGTGTGGCATTTTATCTCATTCTTTTGGAAATGGTTTTCTAAAAGAAAATCATTTGGAAACTGAAACTGAGGCTGGAAAGCTTTTGTTGAGGTCGGTCAGGTGCCGACAGTGGTGGGATCTCACCCCCCTCATGTCCAGCATGCCTGCTTGTCCATTCCAGTGAATTACCATGGGCCAAGTTACAGTCAATGAAAGTGGGGGGAGAACACAACTCTTTTCTACGTGTTACATCTGAGGCTTTTATCAAAGTCAAGGACTGATAACGCATCAATTAGCACGTATGCCACTATTTTCTTCAGGGAACTGGACCTTCATCCAGCAACCCCAATAGAAATTGGCAGACAGGCTTAAAAAAATATTTCCAAAATTGGTAAATAAAACACATCAATTTCCTGCCTCCCCGTCAGTCATATTCTTTCCATAAATGACTTTCTGTATTTTTTCTCTGTCCCAAACCTCCACTCATTTTCAGGCCCAGAATTCTCCCAGATCACCAAACCATGTAGTTTCTGCCTAGCCTAAACCATGTCAATCTACCACCTGAAATAAGAGGAAACTGAGGAGATATCAAGTCTATTTTTTCAACAGGTTATACAATTCACTCACAGTTTATATTTTATTTACAATGAATAAATAAATAAATGACAGAGACTTCTAAGATTTAAAAGCAACCACAGTTACAACCAGAGCAACAAAAGTTCTCAAGTGTATTATCAAAAGGAAAATTGGAGTCGAATAATTGCTATGATAGTTATACTCATCACTAATCACTACGTAAAATGATATGACATGAAAGGGATGAAAAACAGAGGTTTGCCAAATTGTCTAAGCCAACTGGGGATCAATAAATCACTGTTAATAGTGCATAAGTATGATATTTCAGGTACTTTTGAACAAATCACATAGCACTATGGAGGCATTTCAATAAGAATGTGATGCAAAAGTCACACGAGAAAGGCCAGGCACAGTGGCTCATGCCTGTAATCCCAGCACTTCAGGAGGCTGAGCCAGGCAGATCGCTTGAGCTCAGGAGTTTGAGACCAGTCTGGGCAACATGGAGAAACCCCATCTCTACCAAAAAATACTCAGATTAGCCAGGTGTGGTGGCATGTTCCTGTGATCTGAGCTACTTGGGGAGCTGAGTTGGGAGAATCACTTGAGCCCGGGAGGCGGAGGTTGCAGTGAGCCGACATCGCACCACTGCACTCCAGCCTGGGTGACCAAGCAAAACCCTATCTAAAAAAAAAAAAAAAAAAAAAAAAAAAAGTCACGTGAGAGGCAGAGGGAGGTATAAATTCACTAATTTACTATGACCAATAGTTAAATTTGACTGTGGTATTTCTAACCAAAGCATTAGGGGAAAGCCATGGGTCACCTGACTGTCACCATCTGATGAAAGGCTATACGGTAATTCCTTAAGTGGAAATCTTTTTCTGGAATTTAATTCTAAAGAGAAGTTATCACATAGGACCTTTCACAAAGACATTAGTCTTATCACAAATGCAAAAATAATTTTCAAATGCATACAAGATGAATCTTGGAAATAGACCAGGCCCTCACGTCCAACTACAACTCAATGAGGTTGCTAAGTTTGCCAGGCCCTGCTCTGTCCCTTCCTGGAGCTCTAAACTATACACTATGCTGTGATTGGAAGAGCCCATGAGAAAGGCAGGTCCTTCATTGTCTTCTGTGAGCCTCAGCTGCCAGCTGGGCTTTCTGTAGACACCAGTGGGCAAAGCAGTGAGATTCATGCCCCCTGAGGATTAAAATCCCAGGTTCCATTCTGCCCTGGATGCCAGATGGCCAGGCTGAGGTTAAGGTGCTGCTGGCAGACCTGTCTTCCCACCTGCAGGAATTTGCTTGAGTTGTAGCAATAAAACACCACAAACTGAGTGGCTTCAACTACAGGAATTTCTTGTTATTTATTATTATTATTTTGTTAAGACAGGGTCTCACTTTGTCACCCATGCTGGAGTGCAGTGGTGTGATTACAGCTCATGGCAGCCTTCAATTCCTGGGCTCAAGCTATTGTCCCACCTCAGCCTCCCAAGTAGCTGAGATTACAGGCACACAACACACCACCATTCCCAGCTATTTTTAAAATTTTTGTGGAGATGGGGGTCTCACTATGTTGCCCAGGCTGGTCTCAAACTCCCGGGCTCAAGTGACCTCCCACCTCAGCCTCCCAAAGTGAATTTATTGTCAAAGTTCTGGAAGCTGGAAGTCCAAGATCAAGCTGTTGGCAGGGCCATGCTCCCTCTGCAGATGTTGGGGCAGGCTCTGTTCCTGGCCTCACTCCCAGCGTCCGGTGGTTTGCAGGCCCTGCCACAATTCTGAATCATTTTGGTTTCAGGTGGGCCTGAGTATTTCTCCAGATGATTCTATTCTCATCCAGGCTTGAGAACCATTGGCTTAGATTACTCAGAATATACCTGGCACAGGATGCCAGAAACAGGAAGAGAGGAAAATATAATTTTCCCTCTGCCCCTCTAAATTCTAAGCTGGGACACCTTTAACAAAAGACAGATTAGCAATAGAGAAATGAACAGAAGTTTGTTAACATGTGTATTTTATATATACATGGGAGAAAACTAAGGAAAAAAAAAACTCTCTGTGAGGTTGCAGGGTAAATGCCACTGACAGCAATAACTTAAGCACATCCTTAGAACGACGCTGATAGATGCACCTGAATGTGTGTTCCAAGCCAGGAAATCTGGGCATGGCCAACCCAGAGATTTGTTTCTTATCTATGAGAAACATCCGAGCCCCCCTGACCCATCTTGCATAACACAGGCTATATAGGGGATTGAAGCCGTAAGTTTTAGGGTCAATGAGGGTTGCCAGGTGGAGGTTGTTATGGGGAGGGTGTTAAGTGAAAATGCTCCATAAACTGCATGCTGTTTGCAAGCAGTTGTGGTTTTCCTGCCCAGCCCACTGCCACTGGGCCATGTGGTTATCTTGTCTAGCCCACTGCCACTGGACTGTGTGTAAGGAGGATATGTTGTCCAGCCCACCACCACTGGACTGCATGTAAGGCAATATGTTGTCCGGCCCACTGTCACTGGACTGTGTGTAAGGCAGATATCTTGTTTAGCCCACTGCCCTTGGACCATTTCTGTGCATAAGGTAGTCCTCCTAGCCAGCCCTCTGCCACTGGACTCTCTCTCCTGTATGTAATCTCCTAATAAAACCCCACGTCTTGTTTACTGTCTCTGGGTCTCTTCTTTAGCCTCTTGAACTGGATGCCTTCCCTATTGAGGCTAATAGGGGTTCACACAACAGAGGTGGCTTTGAACTCCAACCTATACAGCATCTTCAACAAAGAACAATGCATTTTTGAGGCAAGTGACAGGGCAAAAGAAAAGCCCCTCGAGTCTTCATGGATGGCAAATTGTGGGAAGACGATACTGTATATGGAAACTCATGGTAGATAGACAAGTTAGTAAAGTCTGTGAGGTAGGCTCCTCTGGTGTCTCCAGGCTGATAAGGATCTAAGGTCATCTCGGGTGGTCGATGTTTTTCCTTTCTGGGGGAGGAGGGGAAGGACAGCTTTGTAAGTTTATGTCTTGCTTTTAGGCAAATATCTCCTTATATCTGCTTCTTTTCAATTACCTTCAGGTCTAAATGATCCTTATGCCCAAATGGCATATTTTGAGGTGACATATTTTGCTATCTTTCACTAGTATTACCTTGCCCTGAGACAGGAAGAGGAGGAGGAAATACCTGAATACAATTGAGCTAACAAGTCTTGAAAAATGGACTCTTTGCTGCATGTAGTTTCTCATCTTTGAAATGGAAAGATCAAGACCCTAATTTTCCCACGAAAACACATGGGCTATTTCATGTCAAGTGTGTTTGTGAATTTTAAGGTACAGCAAAACATTTAGTCTTATCTTGGCATGATCTACAGTGGATGGTGTCCAGGGGCCATATTGGAAACCTCCCCCTCAGCTGTGGCTTTCTTCGCCGCCCCTGCAATTAGGAACTGTATGATACTTTCCCTCTTCCTCTGCCCCCTCTCTCTCCCCCAGGCATCAGAGGCCATGAGCACACATACTACAGTTGTAAACAAATTGTTTTAAATTGATGATTTGGATACTGGTTTGGTGGGATTGGTCTAAAAATAGCCAAATGTAATTAGTTTAATTGTTTTTAAGAGGTCTTTTTTTTGTAAGCCATTATAAACTCTGGTTTTGTGTTTTGTCTAGTTAATACAGTTTCTGTTGAAACTTCTTAGATGGGTCTGTCTTAAATATTTAAAACATGCTTTGCATTGGCTCTAAATTTGTGCATGTGAAATAGTTCAAGGTGATTGGTGCCTTCTGCCACTCATCTAGGAGGAACATCTGTTGTGGCTTATAAGGCATTGGTTAAAACCTAACCCTTTCTATAAAAGGGCTGTTTTATCTAAGCAGAACCTGGGAAGGTATGAGACACTAGTTAGCGGTTCCCGTCTCTGTTGATAAGTTTCTTGTGCAAAGCTGCCCCATCAGTATGCACTTGACCTCATTCTGGGGAGTGCAGTGGAGCATGGCTGCAATTCTGCCCTCTCTGATGCTCCCTATCCCATCTTTGAAATGGGTTAACTTGGGTATCCAAGACAGGTAAAAGTAAACTGTATCCAGAAACTACCCTATTGTATATCGAATCACCCCTGGATCTGGGCTGTTCTTTGGAGAGTAAAAGGACTTGATAGATGGAGAGAAGCACAAAAAAGCCCCAGACAGGTCTACTTCAGTTAAGGCTTAAATACCTACAAGTTGTTGCACATCAACTGACAGGGTCTCTGCTCCAAGAGGCCAAACCAGAAATGTGGAGAATGCTGTGATTCGTGCCTTTTCTAGACCAACGTCTTCTGGGATGTCTTACAGGGCTGTCAGGGTACTAACTCCAAATCACTTCCCAAGACAGTTTTCAGTTGAGTTATTCTTACTCTTAGAGTACTTATGTGGCCTATGACAATCGCAGGCAAAAGATGAGTCAACTCCTGGTGGAGAATTTGTCTATGATGGGGGAGTTTGTGTGGGTACAGATTAAGGACAGGGAAATTGCTTCCATCTTAGCATAAATCAAGCATATCCTGTTCCCAAACAAAAGTGTTTTCTACACCCATGTTTCTCACCCTTGATGGATATTTGAATTATCTGCAGAGTTTTTAAAACATGCTATGGCCTGGGTGCCATCTGAGACTACTTAATCAAAACTGTTAGTATGTTCTGGAACCATGCTTAGAACCAGTGGCCTGCAAAATCATAGAGAGTGTGGAGAACTCAGCTCAGAGAGAAACCACACAGCAATGGCCTTGCCTAGCCACTGCAGTCTGACCAGAGAGTAGCCAGGGTCCTGCTCAAGGGATAGGAGATATATATATACTCTTCCCATGTATCAGCACTTGTTCTAAGAACAAAGTGTTATATTACTTAATCTTCACAACAACCAATGGACAATGGAGAAGACAAGTGTGTTCAACTTGTACATGCAGAGCAGGAGCTGAGCTCAAATGGCAGGGTCCCAAGCCCATGCACCAGACACTGCACAGTTCTGAATGCAGCAATTACATTTTAACTTTCACCAGGTACAAAAGCAAAGACTGTTCATGAGATTATTGATACAAAAGGCCTAGGGACTTGAACAACCTGGGGCTCAGATCAGCAAAATCTTGAGTCAAGCAGAGTCTATACCTAGAAAGAGAATATCCCCTGGCTGAACATCCATCAGCTTCTCTGAGGAGGGAGAAATGGAACTTGTCAACTTCCCATACATTGGGTATGTCTTGGAAACATGTAGGTTTATATGAACTGTTCAAAGCAAACAACATATATCCTTGTGATCCTCCCAGAGGGTGGATTCTATCATTCTCAACAAATCCTTTGGTTGTTGTCACCAAGACCCAGTTCCTGAACTTCTCTGGTTTCTGTTGCATGGTTATATGGAGATCCAGGCAGTGCCTGGACAAGGGGCACCCAGCAATGGGAAGCTGCATCCCAACAGAATAGCACCCACATGGTTCGTTTCCTGTCTGGGTCTGCTGCACTTCACACTGCCTTACACATCCCAGACTGCCATAAGCAAGCAAATGCATAAGAGAGAGAGAGGAAAAAAAATAAGCTCTCAATTTGGGTACATGAGCTGTTCAGTTCATGGGTGGTGCTTGGTAGTCCTGCCAGTTACACAATCATCCTCCATTTTCTTATGGATATTCATGCAGAACCTTTGTACCTGGTTTAAATTTCTGACCTGGGCTTGACCTAGTCTTTATTCCAGCTTACTCATAATGTAGGGTTGCTAGATAAAACACAGGACACTCAGTTAAATTTGAATTTCAGTTGAAGAATTAAAAAAATAATAATATGTGTCCTAAATATTGCATGGGACATATTTATATTAAGAATTATTTGGTTTTGATCTGAAATTCAAATTTAACTGGGAATTCTGTTTTTGTTTGCCAAATCTGATAACTTTACATAGAAGGGAAGGTGTTTCTATGGTCAGGCCCTACTCTGTGGGTATCATTCGCCAGTATAGTTAGAAAACAAGATGGAGTTGTCCAAGGTGGTAAATGTTTGAAGTTTTCCTGGACTATTTGGCGCCTTCTGAATTATGGGCCAAGTTAAAGATAATTAAGAACAGATGTATCCCCAAATGTGACACTACTTATTTGTTAGTACAATGATCTTTAAAAACTCTTTATTGAGCCTCAAATTGAAGTTTAGTGAACAATTGCCAAAAAATGTGGGGTTTCCCACGCTACATGTCACAAGGAGAACTGCTTTTAAGCAGAGTCTCTCAGGCCTGTTAGCATGCCTACAACATCCTGCAATTAGATGACACAGTTGGTTGCTGTATTTATCTTAAGGAAGTTTACAACCTCTTGGAAGGAAATTATAAACTTCCTATTTATTCAGTCTTTGGATAAGCAAAAACATAGATGCTTTGGTTTATACTGAAGGGAAAACCACTCTCCTAGAAGCTATAGTTATACCCCAACAACATTCTTCATTTATGTAGAAGTAATTATTAAAAAAATTTAAACATTCCTGCTTACTTCACTCTCCCAGGTTGACAGCATTGGTGCTTGCTAAATTCATTACAGTCCATATTCCATCTGGATTGCTTTAATTCTAATGCCATAGCTTCACTTTTTTTTGTATTCCTCATTTTTTGGTCCTCTTTTTTTGAGACAGGATCTTGCTCTGTCACCCAGGCTGGAGTGCAGTGGTGCAATTATGGCTTACTGCAGCCTCAGCCTCCTAGGTTCAAGTGATTCTCCCCGCTTTGGTCTCTCAAAGCATTGATCCTTTTTCTTTTCTATTCTCTATTATGTTTTCTATTCTATGGGATGACTCACTGATGGGACAATATTGATTTTAGTGATCCAGCCAATGCTATTGTTCTGATAAGTACTCATTAATAACACTATTTTCACTGTAAAGGATTTTTTATATTCTATTAATAAATGGTAACATATTTAGTGACTGTTATGTACTAGGCATTGTGTCAGGTGCTTGGATACTGTTCCCATTCAATTCTCACAAAAGTTCTGTAAGTTAGAAACTATACTGAGCCCAATTTCACACCTGTGGAAACCAAGGCACAGTACTTATCATTCCTGACTACATTGCAAACCATCCTAATTAAATAGACATAAAAATATAAATATCAAAATGTAAGCAAAATATTCGCCAGTAATAATTCTTAATTTTACCTATCCTGGGCTCCTAGATCAACAGCTTCAACTGAATTAGGTTGTTCCAAATACCCAAATCATTCAGCTGGTTTGAATCCTGTAGACAAACATACGTGTAAAATTCTGATTCCTGCTCAACACTTTAAAAATCGCTTCTGTCACATAAGATGAAGTAATACTTTCTAAAATGAGTTTTACCAAATAGTGCATGTTCTCATTAAAAGTGGAGCTAAAGATTGGATACATATGGACATAAAGATGGCAACAGTGGATGCTAGGGACTTCTTGGTGGGGAAAGGGAGTGAGGGAAGCAAAGGTTGAAAAACTAACTATTGAGTACCTGGGTGACAGGACCATTCATACTCCAAACCTCAGCATTACACAAGATACCCATGTAACAAACCTGTACACGCACACCCTGAATCTAAAATAAAAGCTGAAATTATTTTTAAAATGAGTTTTAGAGACTAATAGTTTTCTGTAATGTTAATAAGGACTGCCTGAGAAAGGAGATCGGTAGTTGAAGGATATGCTTTATAAAATAAAGTTAAACATGTTTCTTTGCTCTAAGACTTAGAAAGTTTTCTCTGTGCGTGTGTACGTTCTGTTAACTATTGCTGCATAGCAAGCAATCCCAACCTTAGTCACATGCAACAGCAACCATTTGGTCATATGCATGGATGTGTGGGTTAGAAACGCAGACACAGCAGAGCAAGACGGTTTCCCTATGATTCATGATGAGTGAGGACTTGGGGGCAAGACTCAGAGGGGACTCGATGGCTGATGGCTGCATTCATCAGAGGACTCCAATATTCATCATGTGTGGTATCTGGGCTGGGAGGAGTCAGAGACTAGGAACGTCACTAGGAGCACCTATGCCTGGGCTTCCCAACAGCATTGTGTCCTCAGATATTGGTGGACTCTGGGTAGCTGGATGCCTTGCAGGGCCTTCAGGGCTCCAAGCAGGAGTGTCCAATGAGCAAGGCATCAGCGGCTTTCTGCCCTGACTTCAGAACACATGAATATCACGTCATCCACACTCTACTGCTTACAGACATGTCACAGTCCCACCCAGATTCAAGGGAGGTGACATAAACCCTAGCATTCCATGCGAGAAGAATCACATTCCCACATCAGAAAAAATGTGGTAAAGAAGCTATCATTGTGGCCATCTCCAGAAAATAAAATATGATCCTTTACAGATAATTCAATAACTATGCTTTCCCCATTGTACTTGGTATCAGTCCATCTTCATCCTGAGGAACAGCATCCAGCCTGTTTGTGTCCAAGAGAGTCTATATTAGGAAATTCTGGCCTAGTATGTGTAGACTGTCAGGTTGGGAGGAAGCTTAGCTTACTGAGGCAGATCCTCCTTTCACAGGTGAGAACACACAGCCATAGAGTGCAAGCTTCTGGACCAGACCTCGTGAAAGGTTGTCATAGTAAAATCAGACAATCTTTTCATTTTCTTTCCTTCCTGTAATGCTGGCAATGTTGGACAAGGGAAGATATGGTCTGGGGGTAAATGTGAGGGGCCTGTATTTCATCTCTCTACTCATTCACAGCAGACAGGATTAGAGGAGTTTATAGGTTCTCCAGTGGACTGTTTTCCCCACTACAGAAATTCCCTCTACAGGTTTTCTGATAATAATAACAACTCAGCTTTTTTTTTTTCCTTGATCTGTCACCCAGGCTGGAGTGCAGTGGTGCAATCTCAGCTCACTGCAACCTCTGCCTCCCAGATTCAAGAGATCCCCCGATCTCAGCCTCTTGAGTAGCTAGAACTACAGGTGTGCACCACCACACCTGACTAATTTTTTAAATATATGTATATCTAGTAAAGACAGGGTTTCACCTATTGACCAGGCTGGTCTCAAACTCCTCACCTCAAGTAATCCACTGGCCTCAGCCTCCCAAATTGCTGGGATTACAGGCATGATCCACTATGCCCAGCTGATAACTCAGCTTTTGAGCAACTATCCTTGGGGCCAGTAAACTCTTTATATTCAAATATTATCATAAAATTACAAAACATAAAATATACCATTTTAGCCATTTTTAAGTGTCTCATTCAATGGCACTAAATCCATTCACAACATTGTGCAATCATCAGCACCATCCATCTCTGGAACCTTTTCATCTTCACCAAATGATACGCTGTCCCCATTACACATTAACTCCCCATTCCCCTTCCCCCATCTCCTGGCAACCCCTATTCAACTTTCTGTCTCTATGAACTTGACTACTCTAAGGACATCATAGACGCAAATCATACAGTAGTTATTCTTTCACGACTGGTGATTTCACTTGGCATAATGTTCTCAAGGTTTGTCCATATCACAAATGTCAAAATCTCCTTCCTTTTAAGGGTGTGGAATATTCTATTGTATAAATGCACCACAATTTATTTATGTGTTCATATATCCATGGACACTTGGGTTGCTTCCATCTTTTAGATATTGTGAATAATGCTGCCAAGAACATGAACTGTACCAATATCTCTTTGAAACCCTGCTTTCAATTGTTTTGGGTATAATCAGAAGTGAAATTTCTACGTGGTATGGTAATTCTATTTCTACTATTTTGAGGAATCGCAATACTATTTTCCACAGTCACTGCCTCATTTTACATTTCCACTAGCAATGCACAAAAATCCCAGTTTTTCCACATCGTCTCCAACATGTATTATTTTCTTCCTTTTTGACAATAGCTACCCTTATGGGTGTAAAGTAGCTTCTCTTTGTGATTTTAATTTATATTTCCCTAATGATTATGGATATTGCACCCACAGTACCAGCTCAAATGGATGCAGCCCTGGCTCGTACAATGGGAAAAGGCTTTCACTTAATTGTTAACACCACCGTCCCAGCAGACTGGCTGCATTGCCATCACCTGGGATTAGTTAGAAATGCCATAAAAGCTCAACCCACCACTCAGATGGGGGCAGGGACAGATGTGAGTGTTGTCTCCTGTCTTTTTGTGGGATGACTCACAATAAAGCTTTTGCTTTTCTCAAAAAACAGTGCCATAGGATCAGCTTTGATACACATCAAGGATAAGCCCCTTGTTTGGTCATAATAGCGAGCATCTTTTATGTGCTAATTGCCATTTGTGTATTTTCTTTAAATAAACATCTATTCAAGTCCATTTCCCATTTTTTAACCAAGCTGGTTTGTGTTGTTGAGTTGTAGAAATTATTTATATGTTCTGGATATTAATCCTGTATCTGGTATATGATTTGAAAATATTTTCTTCCATTTTATGCGTTGCCTTTTCATTCTACTGATAATGCCCACTGATATATGAAAAATTTTAATTTTGGTGAGGTATAATTTAATCTTTCTTTCTTTCATTGCCTGTGCTTTTTGTATCATCCAAAAAAATCCAAGAAATCATTAACAAATCTAATGTCATGAAGGTTTCTCCTATTTTTTTTTTCCTAAGAGTTTTAGAGTTTTAAGTTTACCTTTAAGTCTTAGGTCTATTTTAAGTTAATTTTCACATACAGGGTGAGATAAAAGTCCAACTTTATTCTTTTGCATGTGGATATTCACTTTTCCCAGCACAATTTGGGAAAGAGCCAGTAAACTCTTAACCACACAATCTTACTGTGGCCAGAAACTATTTTACTCCAAGTATTTACTTTCTCTGAAAATAGATCACAATTTTCAGCTGAGATTGCTACCAGATCACCAGTCTTTCTTGCAGGTAGGCATTGATGTATGACTAAAATCACGCCAGTAAGACATAAGCAAATGTGCACATGTACCTCTAGAAAGGCTGATTACAAAGAGTATACTTGGTGTGACACAAACCTGTTTATCTTTCACTCTCCTTTTGCCATCAGCCTGGAACGTGCATGTCGTGAATAGTTATAGTAGTACCTTGAACAAAAAAATGACCGTGAGCCAAAATATTGACAGGGCTCTGGTAGCGCAGGTCCCTGCAGACAATGTGGAGCTGCCATATCAGCTTTGGATCACCCTGTGACATTAAATTCCATCATGTTTGAGCCACTCTCAATTTATGTTTTCTTATTGCGCAGATGACCCTTATCTTTTCTAAGGTGCAATTTATGTGTTCTTTTTAATGCATGAATTTAAAGTACACACTTGTATGAGTTTTGGCAAGTGTATATTTCTGTGAAACTACTGCTACATTCAAACGTCCAAATCTTTTAATCATTCCCAGAATATTCTCTGTCATGATTTGCAGTTCATCTCTCCCTCTGCCCCAGGCCCCAGGCAGTCACTGAACTTGTGAATTTTTGTCACTATAAATTAGTTTGCCTTTTGTAGATTTTACATAAGTAGAATCATACAGTACATATTCTTTTGCATCAGGTTTCTCTCAACTCACATAATGATTTTGACATTTATCTATGTTGTGTAGGGGGCTGAGGAGGGTGGATCATGAGATCAGGAGATCAAGACCATCCTGGCTAACAAAAAATTAGCCAGGCATGGTGGCACACGCACCTGTAGTCCCAGCTACTCAGGAGACTGAAGCAGGAGAATCGCTTGAACCCGGGAGGTGGAGGTTGCAGTGAGCCGAGATTGTGCCACTGCACTCCAGCCTGGGTGACAGAGGGAGACTCTGTCTCAAAAAAAAAAAAAAAAAGAAGAAGAAGAAGAATAGTTTGTTCCTTTTTAATGCTGAGAGTTGTCTATTCTATGGATATACTATAATTTATCCATTCACTTCTTGATGAATATTTGAGTTGTTTTCAGTTTCTAGCTATTATTAATAGAGCTTTTATAATGTTTATGTAAAAACCTTTGCAGACATATAACATATTTTTCTTTCTCTTGGGATTTCTTTAGGAATGAAATAACTAAGTTTTATAATAGGTGTGTCCTTAAGCTTTTGAAAAATTATTAAAGTTTTCAAAGTGGTGGCATATTTTTCTTACCATCTGTTCACTCTCAGAAATGATGCCATCTGGAGGACGCAGTGCTTGTCTCTGCTGTTGGCAGATTAGACACTCACCAGTGACTATATCCAGGTCAGCCTTGGTGAGTGGAAGTCCATGTTGCTGAGTCCATGCATAACTTCCATCCCTGCCACCATGGCCACTTTGTTCATAAGCCCATTGGAAGATGAGAGTGTGGCTGGGGAAAGATTCAGCTGACTGGTATCCACAAAATGAATCATCTTATCCACTGGATTATTAAATAAATCCTTCTCTCTTAAATGCAGAAAAACTGTAGATCATGATGCAAATTCTATCCTATAATTTAGAAAAACACATTTTTATCATTCTTCAAATTTTTCACTAAAGAATAAGAGATATTGCCCAAGACTGAAGCTAAATCTTATGCATCTGCCTTACACAGAGGGAGACCTGAACTGGCATGTAGGGAACCTGCCTCCCAGCAAGTTCCATCACTGTCTTGCTAAGTCCTCTGGGACAAGGCATTCACCACTCTGAATCTCCAGTTTTCCTCTGTCAAAATCCCTAGTCCCATTTGGGCCAGGGACTACTAGAGCTTACTTTGCCTTGAAAAGCATATTTACTACTCCTACTAACTTTTTACACTTTTTAAAGACGGATTAGAACTCTCTATTAGGAATATAAGCAAAATAACCTGTTTTTCTCTGATGAAACCTTATAGATCTGCAAATCACTTGCAGCCTTTGGAATGGAAACTTCCTTCAGATTCTGAAATGCTGCAACTCATTCTTTTTTTTCTAGAATATATAAAAAAAATCCTAAGTAAGAAAACTGTGGAGAGAAAATGTTTTTTTTTTCCCCACCAAAGTTGCCATTCCATTTTCACTTGAAAAAAGTACTAAAAATATAAAAATTCCAAAAGAAAACTGGTTTTTCTGCTACTCTGAAAAGTGGTGGCAGAAAGCTTGGTCTTGCAAAATGTTCACCCAGACCTGGACATCTGGTCGCCTTTGGCCCTTTGCAGTTCCCTCGAGGGCACTTGTTCTGGCCCCTCCTTCCCTCATCAGATGCCTCAGGAAGCCACATACTCCCAGCTTTATTCTGGACTACAGAGAACACTGGTCGGGAGGTGGATGTAAAATCTTTCCAAAGAACCATGTCAACAAATAGTCTACCCTTCTTCAAGAAAAGCCAATTTCTATTTATAGGACAAACAGCCTTTCCAAAAATCGAGACTGCAGGGTGGCAGGGTTACAATACTCATTACTCTGATGACTTGTGGTCTTATCCTTCTGCTCTGATGTGGTTCCTCGTTGCATTCAACAAAAATGCACTGAACCACTTCTGAGCCCTTTTACCTCTGCAAGGTAATACAGATTCAGTCTACTAAATTTATAGTTCCTTCCCTTGGAGAGGCTCTTGGTTTATTGGATGAATCGGGCATTTAGAGAACAATGCAAACAAACAAAGCTGAGTATCATTTGTTCCCCCAGTTTGTTAACAGTTTTTTTCGCGGGGGAGAGTGGAATAAGGAGGGTGTGGGTACTGATCTCAGCCATGGCTCTAGTGTCTCTGGTGAACCAGCCCCTGAGGCCCACCCTTTTAGCCAGTGATGATGGGTGTTTTCCTTGTAACTGGTTAACATGTCTCTACTGCACTGGACTGAGCTTGGGCATCCTGGATGCCCATGTCCTTCTCTGACATAGCTACTCTTCTACTACTGCAGGGCCTTTTCTCCATCAGTGCCAGCATATTAATCTTGGACTGAATTTTTCTGTTTCTCTCCTCCAAAGGTGCACCCTGGCATTCTAAGCACTTCCACATCCACCTAACTTCTGCCAGGATTTTCTGTGGACTAAGGTAGCTAAGATGTAGAGGGAGACGCATGGTCCTTAAACCAGGCTGATCTAGTTCTTACTGAAACCACTTCCCAGCCCTATCATCTTGGATAAGTCACTAAACTTTTTGGAGATGAGTTTCCTCTTTGATAAAATGGGGGACATAATATCCACCTTAAAGGGATGTTGTAAGGATTGACTTACATGGTTACTACAGAGTGCCTGGCAGAGATTTGCTGTCAATCAAAGTCATTTAGTAGACACTGCCTCTTTTGACAGGCAGAAATGACCCTGCAGGTCAGGGCGGATCCACTTCTCTAGATTTAGGTACACTCTGAGTTTCCATCCTTCATTTAATACACTCAGTGGTATTACCTTTTCTACTGGACTACATAAAGTCTTCGGCAAGGATTGTGTCACTTCATCTCTTAAGCATCTAGCAAAATACTCAGCACGTAGTAGCTAATTTATACAATTCTGCAAAACCAAAATATACTAAACATTCTAGGCTAGCCTTGACCGACTTGTCAGGCTAGAATGAGTCAGGCCATGGTCCTTCCATTTCTACCTCCAGCTCTCTGGATATACACTTCCCCAGGCATCCTTCATGCATGGGTTTCATCATTTGCTTCAGTAGGTTGATGATTCTGTAGTCCATAGGTAATGTCCTAGAGGATATGTGCTCTCCCCCATATTTATGCAAATAACAGCAGACATATCAGACATTTATGCACATAGCAGCAGCTCTCTTTTCATAACAACTAAATACAAGTTTCCGTATTGCTCACTTGTAAAACAAGCTTAGACTCTGTTCTACATTAGTTAAGTTATTCCTATTTAGATACCATACCCCTAACTTAAGACCATTAAGTTGTATGTGGTAAGAATATTTAACATGAGGCTTACTCTCAACAAAATGTTAAGTATACAATATAGTATTATTAACTATAGGTAAATGTTGTACAGCAGATCTCTAAAACTTATTCATCTTACTCAATGGAAATTTTATAACCCATTGATTAGCAACTCCAAATTTCCTTATCTGTCCAGGCCCTGGCAACCACTCTCTGCTTCCTGGGTTTTACTATTTTAGATACTTCATATATGTTCTGTATTTGTCATTCTATGACTGGCTTATTTCATTTATCATCTTATCCTCCACGTTTATCCAAATCCAGATGGCAGAATTTCCTTCTATTTTAAGGCTGAATAGTAATGCATTGTGTGTGTACCACATTTTCCTTATCCGTTCCTCCATCGGTGGACTCTTAGGTTGTGTCCACATCTTAGCTGTTGTGAATAATGCTGTCATGAATATGGAAGTACACATATCTCTTCAAGATGTTTATTTCCATTATTGTGAATACATATCCAGAAGTGGGATTGATGGATCGTATGGTAGTGCTATTTTTCGCTTTTTGAGGGATTTTCATGCTGTTTTTCATAGCGACTGCACCATTCTGTATTACCACCAAAAGTATGCATGGGTCCCAATTCCACATTCTTGCTAACATTTATCATTATATTATATATATATATATTATATTATATATATTATATTATATATAATGTAATGATAAATATATATTTATATAATATATGTATATTGTGTAAAATGATAATATATATAATATATGTATATTATATAAAATGATAATATATATAATATATAAGAATAGTTATCCTAACAAGTATAAAGTTGTATCTCATTGTGATTTTGATTTGCATTTCCTTAATGCAGATTCAATGTAATCCTTGTCAAAATTCCAATGGGATTTTGTACAGAAATAGATGCAACAATCCTAAAATTCATATGGAATCACAAAAGATCCTGACTAGCCAAAACAATCTAGAGAAAGAAAAACAAAGCTGAAGGCATCACACTTCCTAATTTCAAAACATATATGGCACTGGTGTAAAGACATCTAGAGAAACGGAACCGAGTAGAAATCCCAGAAATAAATTCATGGATATACGGTCAACTGGTCTTTGACAACAGTGACAAAAATACATAGAAAGGATGGTCTCTTCAACATGGCGCTAGGAAAACTAGATATATACATGCAAAGGAAGGAAACTGGACCCCTCTCTTACCTGATAGACAAAAATCAACTCAAAATGCAAAACTTAAATGTAAGATCTGAAACTATAAAACTTCTAGAAGAAAACATAGGGAAAAGCTTCACGACATTGGTCTTGGCCATGATTTCATGTGTCTGGCACCAAAAGCACAAACAACAAATGCAAAAATAGATAAACGGGGCTACATCAAACTACAAACTTTCCACACAGCAAAGAATAATTAGTAGAGTGATAAGGCAATCTATAGAATGGTGGAAAATATTTGTAAGCCACATGTCTAATAAGGAATTAATATCAACAATATGTAAGGAAACTCCTGCAATTCAACAGGAAAGCAACAACAGCAACAAAAGACCAAACAGCCCATAAAAGAGTGAGACTTGAATAAATGGGACCCAATTAAGAAAGAACGTGACTAGATATCTCTCCAAAAATATATACAAATGGCTCTCAGGTATATGAAAAGACTGCTTTCCCAAGCACTGCCTCCTAAATTCTGGACTCTTGGGGAAATAGATTTAAGCTTTCTAGAACACTTTTCTATCACTGGCTGATCTTTGGCCCCTTTCAGTTCCTTCCGTTTTCTAGAAAATATCTGCATTGGGACTATTTCCTCCACTATAGCCCCACATGTTAAAATACATTGCTATTTTTGTGGGCCCAGGAACAACTGTAGAGTAAGTAAATCTGACATTTCAAAACCAGCTGACATTAAAGCTTCTCCGAATTCCAACTCTGAAAATCTTCTGAAGAATTTAAAATTTTTTTTTTCAAATTTTATATTTTTTATTTCAATAGGTTTTTGGGGAACAGGTGGTGTTTGATCACATGAATAAGTTCTTTAGTGGTGATTTCTGAGATTTTGTTGCACCCATCACCTAAGCAGTGCACACTGTACCCAATGTGTAGTTTTTATCCATCACCACCCCCGACCCTTACTCCCAGATTTTGGGGAAATGCAAAAATTTGTTACTAGATGTTTTCCTTTCAGAAACAAAAAGTGAAGACAACTCCTTGGTTTGAAATTTCCTTCCGAAAGGATATAACTGGGCAGCTTAAAATGAAGCAACCTTCATCTTTTGATGCATGGAAAGATGTGACCCAGCTCATTACTCATGGATATGAAATCTAATTGAAAGAGGCATACTGTCTGCTGGAATCACTTGGCAGCTGTTAATGGCTTGATTCAGGCAGCTCATCCTCTGGGAAGCATGTCTCCTTGCCAGGAAACCTGAGCTCACTTCCTTTTCCCTGCCAGTCACCCACCCACAGCCATCGCTGTCACAGGCCCCTTCCTTCCCACTCTAGCTGCCCACCTGCTCCTTTCCCAGCTCCTCTCTCATCAAAGCTATCTTTGTTCGTCTGTCTCAGCACTGGGCATCCCCTTTAATGGCATCACTCTCTGTCCAAACCAGATAACATGTGTCCTTATTTCTCATGTCATTTCCGGGCCCTTGGCAGGCCAACTTTCCCTGACTCACACGTGCTGGCCCCTCCTTCCCATCGCCTGAGCTTTCCTTTCCCTCCCTCTCTCCTGACCCTACATTTCCCCCTCTTGTCCTGCACTGCCCTGCCCTCCCATCCGTCCCTTCACTCCCTTCCCTCATGAAAGGCTCCACTTCTTTTGTAATTCTGTTAATTATCCAATGTCTTGCCTCTCTCCCCATTCTCTTACCTTTCCGTAAACCCACCTCTGACCCATTTCCACTGGCCACAACTGCTCTTTGCTTCCTCTTCTTGATTCCATTTCAACTTTCCACTTTTCCTTCTATCTGAAGTTGACAAATGGGTTCATAGTGCTCTGAATTTTAACACAGCCTTGTCCTTTGATCACCCTGGCTAAGCCTCAAACCCCCAGGCGGAGGTGCTACCACCATCTCCATTCTGCAGTGAAGGCTTCTGCACTTTCTAGAGTTTGTGAACTCCAGTGGTGGAGGCAGCGGGCCCAGCACCCTGCGGAGGAGCTGAGATCCTATCTGCCCCCTGCCTGCTCTGAAGTCTTTCTTCACAGCCGGCCTCTTGATGGGAGGGTTAGGTGGCAGGGATCTCATTCTCCAGCCCCACCGCTATTAGATCTCCGCCAGCAAATACAATTTCTCATTCACCCCATTCCTCCCTCCTCCACCTCACCCTCCCTCTATGTCTTCCTTTTCTTCCCTTCATTTCTCGACAAGAGAAAAAATGCATAAAATATGCCTTTCTTCTTATTGTTTTCCTCAAGCTGCATGTTTGGGGTCTCAAAATCATGTTGTGTGGTGGGGAACTGTTCTATGCATTATAAGATGTTTAGCACTATCCCTGGTTTCTTCCATTAGAAGCCAGTAGCCGCCTCCTTGTGCACCTCCCCAACTGTGGCAGCCACAAATGTCTCCGCATTGCCACGTGCTCCCATGATGTGAGAACCACTGTCCTAAAGCAGCACGTGAGTTGTGAGTGGTCCCATTCTTCAGCAGGAATTAGATAACAGGTTCCTGAGGATTCTTTGTGGAGCAATTCCAGGAGGAAGTAAGTCAGCAAAGAAGCATGGGAAAAGCCTGGCTGAATACGAGCCATGGGTCTGGCCCAGCCTGCCATTACTGCCTAACGGGCACACCTGGATGTGATGTTTGCTGCCCAACCTCTGGCTCCTCCTCTGTAAGATGCTCATTGTTTTCATCCCACTAGTCCTCTTTTTGCTGAGAACAGTGCCCAGAGTGTGCTTTCACAGGGACCCAGGGAAGGGAGCATGTTGAGCGGGGAGGGAATTAAAGCCAATGAGGACTGCGGATGGGGACAGCCAACACCAATGAGAGAGCTACAGAGCTGGACGATGCAGGACTAGATGGAAGCCGAGGAGAGGCTAGAGGGAGGCCCTCTGAGAATGGCGGGGTGAGCATATTTATGCTTAAAGGGGAGGAGGCCGGTGAGAGTTAAGAGGAGGAGGGTGGTTCAGACAGATGGGCCAGGAAGGACTGGAAAAGCATAGCTCTCAGGACCGCCTGGGTGGGGAAAGGATGTCCTTCATTTCTGGGATTTAGGAGGGAAGGGAAGAAGAAAGGAGAAAGAAATGTGTGAGTACAAGAGGTGTAGGAATTTGAGGGAATTGGTCACTGACAAACCTCGGTTTTTTTATATGAGCCGAGAAGCCCAGCCCCCTTCCATGTGTTAAGGGGAGAAGGTGAGTTTTGGGGGCTTGAAGTGCACTTTGGATCCGCCCCTGAGAAAGATGAGAGAGACCAAAGAACAGGAAGGTTTTATACCAAGGGTCAGAAAGGGGCTCTGGCTGGTTCTGGTCCAGGTCTCCAAAGCTGTTAATCCTTTCCCCGCAGGGGCCCGACTCAGACGGCCCCATGCAGTTTATGTCTCAAATGTAGTTTCCTACTACAGAAAAGATGGTATGGAAACACCAAGTCACTCTGTGTTCTTTCAGCTCTGCAGAACTGAAATAGAAAGACAGTTCAGTACCAGAGGCACAGTCTGTGGGCTTTGTTTTTGTTTTAGTAATTTTGTTTTTTAAAACCATTGGAATTACTAAATGTTGGTTGATGTTGGGACTATTTGAACTGAAGGGTTTAGGATGGAAAGATGAGATTTTCCTGCACATATCTGGTTCTACTTTTTAAAAATTTAATCAAATGTAGACAGTTATAGTGAAGACAGGTAGAAGGAGCTAGACCCCTCTAAACAGAGACCCTGCCATTTTTGCTCATAGCTCAACATATGTCTTTGCAAACTGAGTGGCACTTCCCTGACCCCCAGGTGCACCATAGGAACAATTATCACAGTGAAAATTAGTGGGATTGCATCTAAACCCTGTGAGTGACATGCAATATAGTATAATACATGTGTACATGCACACCCTGGGGGTGTAGTCGCCAGACACACAGAGCCACCCACACAGTCACATGTGCATGGCCAGTCCCCCTCCCACAACAGATCTGTCTCCCAACACCCACACACCACATGGTCCCCCAACGCCGACATAAGTGATGGCATCACACTCACGTGTAGTCACATCCACATCCAATATGTATACATGTGTTCACTCCCATATATGTGCATAGGTCCCACCCTCTGTAGGGCAAGGACATGCTCACCATCACCATCTCTCAGGCACAAACTCTAAATTCTGCACCCCACTCCATCTCACACTGTTTCTCTGTTTCTCTCTCCCATTGTCTATTCTTCTAGTATTTTCTTGTGTGTTCTCGGGCACTGCTTCTAGACACACATAGGGGCACTGCCCATCCTCCCATGTCCACATACATACTTCCACACAAGCCCTCATGGGGAGGTTCTCGCATACTTCATACACATGCCTCAGGCCTGCACACCATTCTCTCTCAGCCTAGTCCACAGCTATCCCTCACACACACACACACACACACACACACACACACACCACACACTTCCTGACACCACACACCTCCCAACATGCAGCCCATGCCTATTCCCTGGACACCCCTCATATGTAGACCCACCACTTCACACACACAGAGCCCCCTTTTCCACAAGCCTCCCTAATAAGCCTTGAACATGTCACCTCTCACACTCACACTCATCATCTAAAGCACCCGCCCCCTCTTTCTCACATGGACACACCCATTTTCCCCCCACACACACTCCCTCACCCACAAAGTAGCCCAGTTCTAGGCAGTATATTAAGCTAAGACAAAAATGTGCAATAAAAACATCACATTGGACTTTCAGTTCTGGAGAGATGGAGCAGACACACTTTTCCCTATTCCTAACACTAGAGTATAAAAAACAAATGTCTGGGTATTATGGGCTGAAACATGAGAAAACACTGAAAGGAGGAGAGAAGAGAGAACTACGCAGGATCTCCAGGCCTGGGAAATGACATGGTGATGAGGCCCCGGGGTTTTATTTTTTGTCTCCTATGTCTCAGACTTGGAGCTGGAGAAGTCAGGAACTTGGAAACTCCAATAGCCACAGGCAACAAGAGTCCCATCAAAAGCTTCCCCTTCTAACAAAAGGACCAGAAAAGGGGCAGCCTAGCAAGAGAGAAAGCTTTTAGACAATAACAGCTCTACTCTAGCCGAACACCATGGGAAAACTGGGGCCACCATCTCTACCATAGAAGCAAAGGCCAAGTGGGACTCCACACTTCCACCTGTGACAGAAAACCTGGACACCCTCAGTAGGGGTGCCAGAGAAGACCAGGGAGGGGGCTGAGACTTGCATCCCTTCCAGCTGGTGGGAGACCCTCCACCTTCACTGTGCCCTGGGAGGCCACCTGGGGAGCCAGGACTTCCATTCACATCTAGTAGTAACAAGGGGGTGACCCTTGCCCTCTGGGGTGGCCTCAGAGGGGCATAGTGGAGAATCAAGACCTTTTCCCATGCCCTGTGGCTGCCAGGGCACCCCCTACTTCCTGTGTCAGTGGAGGTCTCATGGGAACAATAGTGAGGCACCCTGTCCTTCCCGCACAGGGTGGGAGCCACAGAGGCCCAGTGAGAAACCAGAAATTTCACCCCCACCCAGCAGTGAAAAGGTGCCCTCCCCCAGCTGAATGCCCTCAGAGGCTCAGTGGGGAGCCCAGATTTCTACTCCCACCTGGCAGTAACACAGTGCTGTCCCCAGTTTCCCACCAAAGCACTGTCAGAAGATTCATGAGAGAAGATTTAAATGAGATCCAGTGTCTCACAATATAATATCCAAATTGTCTGGGTTTCAATGGAAAATAATTCATCCAATTAAGAAACAAGAAAATCACAACTCAAATGAGAAGAGACAACCAACAGACAACACAGCTGAGATGAGCCATTGTTAGAAGAACCTGAACCTGAAGAGCGTGGAAAGCAGCTATCAGAAAACACCTGTGAGCTATTACAAACATGCCAAAAACTAATAGAAAGCCTCTGCCAAGAACCAAAAATGTAAAGAAGAACCAAATATGAATTCTGTAGAAGTGAGAAATGTAACAGCTGAAATAAAATATTCAGAGGTTGGGAATCTATCTTGGTTCATTTCGTGTTGTGATAACAGAATAGCTGAGGCTGAGTAACTCGTAAAAGAGTTTTATGTGGCTCACAGTTCTGGCGGCAGGCATGTTCAAGATTGAGCAGCTGCATCTGGTGATGGTCTCAGGTTGTTTCAACTCATGGTAGAAAGCAGAGGGGAGCTAACATATGCGAAGGGATCAAATAGAGAGAGAGGAAGCAAAGGAGAGAAGCCAAGGAAGCCAGACTCTTTTTAACAACCTGTTCTTGGGGGAACTAATTCATTGCCAAGGGAGCAAGAACATACTCACACCTGCCCAACGGCAGTAATCTATTCACAAGGAATCCTCCCACATGACCCAAATATCTCCCACCATGCCCCGCCCTCCAGCATACCTACATTGGCAATTAAACTTCAAAATGATTTTGGGCACAAAGAACCACATTTAAACTATTGCAAGATCAACAGAAAAAGTGGAGAGGACAGAGGAAAGTATTAGTGAACTTGCAGATAGAACAACAGAAATTACTCAGCCTGGACAACAGAGAGAATATAGGCCAAAGAAAAATAAAAATAAACAGAGCCTCAGAGTCACATAAGACTCTCTGTAAAAAGTTTAACATTTGCATCACTGAAGTCTCAAAAAAAGAGGAGAAGAAGAGTGAGATTAACAAGACATTTGGCAAACTAATGGCTATGTCCCAAATTTGGAGTGGAGGGATAAAAAAATTCCTAAATTTGGCAAAAGGCATAATCCTATAGATCAAAGAAGATGATTTTTGAAAGAATGAACCCCAAACAGGATAAACCCAAGATATTGCAGCCAAGACATATTTTAATCAAACACATAAAAACTAAGACAATGAAAAGTCTTTAAAGTAGTGAAAGGTAGGAGAAAAGCTTTCTTTTAGGGAGAAAACTGTTCAATGACAGTGGTTTTCTCATCAGAAATTAGGGAGGCCAGAAGGAAGTCACAAAACTTTTTTAAGTGCTGAAAGCAAAAAATCGTCAACCCAAAATCCTATTTTCACAAAAATATCCTTCAGAAATGAAAAGGTAGTTAGATCATTCTCAGATGAAGAACACTTTTGAACAGACTTATTCTAATAGAATTCTAATAGAATAGCTAAAGAAAGTTCTCTAAACTGAAAATAATTTTTTTAAAAGAAGCACCAGGATAAAAGAACACAAAAGGAGCAAAAAATGAGTAAATATAATACATTTTTGTTTTCTCCTTTACATTTCTAATTCATGTTTAATGTTTGAAACAACAGAAATTCTAATTCTACCTCATATCTTTAATGTTTTTAAAGGACATACCTAAATAATTTTATTATTAAGGAGAGAGGATAAAACGAGGTAAAGTTTCTGTACTTTACTATTAATAGAACTGTTCAAATGATGACCCAGTAGACTATGATGTTACATATATATAATATTTTTAGCAACCACTAAAAACGCTAAAGTGATACGTTAAAAACTTTATAGATACATCAAAACAGAATTCTAAGTAATAGTCAAGTAACACACATGAAGGCAGGTAAAAGAAAACAAAGAAATGAAACACAGAGAGAACAAAAAATTTACAAGCCTTGGAAAAGAGGAAAAAAGCCAGTGTTTCTTATAGTAAAGTATAATTAAAAAGAGGATATCCAGGATACTGGATATAAAAACAATATGAAGAAAAATCTATTTCTAACTACCATCAAAACATTTAAGATGAGATTTAAATAAAGACATCATTTACAGAAGCATTAAAATATCAAATATCTATGAAAAAATCTAATGAGAGATGTAAAATATTTATCAGGGAAACACTAAAGATAATTTATTGAGAAAAATTAAAAGACCAACATAAATAAAGGCCTATAGCAGAGTCATGGTTTAAAAGACTTAATATTGAGAAGATGTCAATGGACCTCAAATTGATCTGTAAATTTAATACATTCACAATTCAAATCCCAATAGGTTGTATTTGTTACAGCATTTATAACACCATTATAGTACCACACAGAATGGTTTCACCGCCCAAAAAATCCTCAATGTTCTGCCTATCCGTCTCTCTTTCCCCCTCTAATCCCATGGCAACCACTGATCTGTTTACTGTCTCTATAGTTTTGCCTTTTCCAGAATGTCAGTAGTTAGAATCATATAGCATGTAACCTTCTCAGATTGGCTTCCTTTACTTAGTGATATGCATTTAACGTCCCTCCTTGTCATCTTGTTGTTTAATGACTCATTTAGTTTTAGAACTGAATAATATTCCATTGTCTGGATATACCACAGTTTATCCATTCACCTACTGAATGACGACTTATTTGCTTCCAAATTTTGACAATTATGAATAAAGCTGCCATAAACACCTGTGCGAGGGATTTTCTGTGGTCATAGTTGTCAACTCTTTGGGGCAAATATCAAGGAGCACAATTGCTGGATCATATGTTAAGAATATGCTTAGTTTTATAAGAAACTGCCTAATTGTCTCCCAAAGTGGCTGTGCCATTCTGTACTCCCACAAGCAATGATTACTGAGAGACCTTGTTCTTCCACAACTTCATCAGCATTTAATATTCTTAATTATTTGGATTTTTGCCATTCTAATATATGTGTAGTGGTTTCTCATAATAGTTTTGATTTTCAATTGCCTAACATGTGATGTTGAGTATCTTTTGATATGCTTCATTGCCATTTGTATATTCTCTCTCCTGAAGTGTTGGTTCATGTATTTTCCCCACTTTTTGTTGGGACGTTTGTTTTCTTACTGTTAAGTTTTAGGAACCCTTCATATATTTTGGATACGAGCTCTTTTTATCAGATATGTATTTGGCAAATATTTTCTCCAGTCTGTGGCTTATCTTCATTGTTTTCCAGTCTTCTGTCATATGTATCTTTTGCAAATACCTTCTCACAGTCTGTGGCTGATCTTTTTGTTCATTTGGCGATGTCTTTCTCAGAGTGCGAATTGTGCATCCTAATGAACTACAGCGTATTGAATTCCTTCTTCCATGGATCATGCCTATGGTGTTGTATCTAGGGAGTCATTGTCACACCCAAGGTCATCTACATTTTTTCTATATTATATACTAGAAGTGTTGTAATTTTGATTTTTGCACTTAGGTCTATTAAGTATTTGGAATAAATTTTGGAAAGGGTGTAAGGTCTGTGTCTAGATTTATTATTTTGCACATGGATGTCCAGCTGTTCCAACATCATTTATTGAAAAGACTATCTTTGCACCCTTGAGTTGCCTTCACTTCTTTATCAAAGATCAATTGAATTTTTGTTTGGGTCCATTTTGGGGCTCTCTTTTCTGATTTGTTGATCTATTTGTCTATTCTTTCACCAATATCACACTGTCTAGGTTACTGTAACTTCTTAAAGTCTTAAATCAGGCAGTATTAGCCCTCTGGACATCCTTCTCTTTCAGTATCATGTTGGCTGTTCATGGTTTAGATTCACAATTTAACTTTAGGACATTTGTTTTACAGATAGAAGAAGAAACTGGGACTCGGAGAAATTATATACTTTGCTCAGAGTCATCCATCTGGTAAGGGACAGACCTGTACTTCTTTCCTCCTCAGACTTAAGTTGGACTTATTTTGAATCAAAGCAAGTCCTGTGAGAATGGAAGTATTCAACTCATCCCATCTAGTAAATGCCTATTCTCTTTCTACTTTCTCAACTCATCCATTTTGCCTTCTCATTAATTGCACAGTCGTAGAGAAAAATGCCTTCTAGACCTTAATTGAAGAAATACAGAATGCTATAAAACTTCAACAAGTTTGAAATTTCTACATTTCAAAACTCTCAACTAAAATGTGCTGTTATTTCTACATATTTCTGGCCTCTTCTAGCCAAGAGGAACGTCTAGAAATGAGAGAACAGACCACCCTAAATATAAAAATTCTATTTTTAAAAAGTCCTAAAAACTGAGAAACAGCATGTACCAAAATAAAGGAAACATAAATTAGAGAAGTGAACAATGAATTTCATTGTGTTTGCAAGTAACTCTTAATTCTGCACATTTTTATCATAAAATCATAGCCACTTCAGACAAACCAACCAATAAGCTAAGTCCATCTCAAGGCACAGACAGAGACATACAAACATTTCCCAAATTTATAAATCAATAGAACACTCAATTAATAACAACAATCCATACTTCTTTGCTGCTGACAAGAAACCAGAACAATTTGTGAATTGAAAAATGTTCTCATCATGATCGCCAACGTTTATGAAGTTTATGTCATTTGTCCTTGTGGATGACCATGAGAAAGCAAGATGAATTAGGCATGACCATTGCCCTCAAGATATTTACCTCCAGGAGCAACACAGGCACACACAAATCACAGTAAATATGTCACAAGCCACCATGGAAGGATGAGCCAAGAGCTGATGGAACACAGTGTGAGAATACCTGTCAGAGAAGGCTTTATTGAAAGGTTGATGTCACCAAGCATTGCTTTCTGCAATACTGCTCAGCTGTAAATGTCGAGGACTTCAATCCACCATCATAGTTTGGTTGACAGTGCAGGCAAAAGAAAGGTACTTATTAAGAATCTCATTGCTGCAAGACGCTGGGATTTTGAACTAGTCTGTGGCTTTAATTCCATAGAGGATGTGGAATAATCTGGTCATAGCCCTGAACCCAACCCCAACCCCATTCCTGCACAAGCCCCTCTCTGTCCCTGTTCCCCTTGGCCTGAAGCACTAAACCCAAGCCTCATCCTGGTGGACCAGGACAGACCAGTTAGCCTCTGCCTTTCAATAACCCATCCACCTGCACCCAAATCCCCCAGCCATCAGCTCTGATCGTACTCCAAACTATTGCCCACAACATTGAGCCTGACTCACTCTGGGAGCCTTCCCATATGACTCTGGGTGTTGAACATGCACCTTAAACCATGGGTGATTCTCAGGCTGTCAGTTCACTGCTGGCTTGATCTAGGCTGCTGTTTTATCAAACACTGCTGCCCATAATTCCTCTACTTTTCCTTTTTCCAGCTGCCTCAATTCTGCATGCCTCCACACTCCCATCTAAGCATTATTACTGCCATTCCCAGCCTGGACTCCCAGACTGTCTGGCTGGCTGTTAGACCACTGACATCAAGGTGAAGGTCAGAGGTTATAGATTATTATTCAGCCTTGCTAATTTGGCCCTTGGTAGAGCTTAGGGTAATTTGTCTTCCCATCTATAAGGAAGTCAGGGTGAACAGAATTTCCTCTTTGCCTCTCCCAAACACTAATTTTATTCCCGCTTTCATTCATTCGCAAGTAATTGTGGATGAGACTTCCTTGCCCTGCTCTGGGCTGAGTACTGAGTATACAGTGGGGAACATTGTTGCCCTCTTTGGAGCTGCCTCCAGACTTCCACGACCCTGCCCCACACATGGACCACATTCCTAGGCTTTTGCAGATTTGGGCTGAAAGAGGAAGAGCCAGAACTCAGAGGCTCTGTGGATGCTGGACTTGGACTGAGGATTGTCCGTTTGGGGAATTCAGCTTAACTATTAGTTAGGTCTTTTCAGCTGTCCCTCAGGAAACCTGTAAGCACAGTGACCACATCTGCCTGTGTTGGTTATGCCTAGTGGTGTTTGCTCTGCATTTTGAAGGATCAGTGAAAGATCACAGAAATAAGAGGAAAACTTATTCCAGGAAGAGGAAACATCAAAGTCAAAAGCAAGATGGTACTCCATAAATACAAATGGTGGATTTGTTTGTCAATCCTAATGTTGAGAATGAGAGATAATACAGTATCTTCAGCACTATAGTTAAAACAAGTCACTGTGCTGATTGCATTGTAGAAGAAAGGATAAGGCCTAATGTCTTTCTCCAATGTGGGTATATTTGTTTTCTATTGCTGACTTAATAAGCTCCACAAAGTTAGTGGCTTAAAACAACACAAATTGATTGACAGTGCTGTAGGTTAGCAATCTAACATGGGTCTCACTGGCCTAAATTAAGCTGTCAGTAGGACGGTGCTTTCTTCTGAAAGCACTAGAGGAGAATTTATATCCTTGCATTTCGAGCTTCTGAAGACCACCCACATTTCTTTGTTCATGGCCTCTTCCTCCTCGTTTGGGAAAAGACTCCTTCCTTCATATCCTATCTCCCTGACCACAGCTGGGAAATTTTCTCTGCTCTTCAGGATTAACGTGATTATATTAGGTCCAGTTGTATAATCAAGAATCATCTCCGCATTTCAAGATCCTTAATCTTTGTTACATCTGCAAAGTCTCTTTTTACATTTAAGTTAACTCTTACTGGCTCCAAGGTCCAGGGCACGGACATTTTGGAGATGAAGGAGATTGTTCTGCTGACCACAGTGGTGTTAAGAGCCAGGTCCAGGCCCAAATTTGTATATTTTTCTATAATAATTTTTGTTATAATATTAAAGTAAAGCGTACCCTGGAGTTAACTGATTAGATCTAAATAGTTTTATAAAATAGTTTTTCTTAGTTGCAAATTACTAGTTAGTACTCTTACTAGTGAGGATGAAGTCTTTGCTCATCTCTAACTTCACTAACTGCCTCACCATTCACCTTCATGTGAATAAAGCTGATAGGAGGTTTAAAAGTTTTAACCTTCCATGAAAATCTGTTGGGATCACTGTACTGTCTGCTCTTGTGCTTCCAAGAAACATCCAGCCATGGTTTGAATGATCACTTTCTAGTCATAATTCATGGCAACGAAAGTGGGGTCTAATACAAATAAGCCTGAATTATGCAAATGAATAAAGGAGATGCTCCACAGAGCAGAGAAATAGAAACTTCAGAAAAACTAAAGGAGCTACTATTTGACATGGTGGCAGCTGCCCTAGTCCTTCCATTTGCAGATGTGTGTGACCTTGAGGACAGACAGCAACATTCCTCAGTTACAGATCATGCTGCTGTGCCTCGGGCACAGGAAAAAATGATGTGTCTAAGTCCTTGGTCTAAGTCATATTGATCAACCTCCATTCTGCCCTGTATTGTAACAGCTACAGCTGTTTCATCAGGAGTGGGCCAGGCGTCGTGTGGGTTTGTCTGTGCATATCTCACGTCAATGTCTCACTAAGGAGAAGCTGTGCAAATGGCACTTATGCTGGCCCAGTAGGTATGTGGCTTAAACACAGGTTTGGCTACAAAGCCAATTCTGTGCTCCTAACCAATTAGTTTCACTTCTCTGAGCATTATTTTCTCCTTTGCAATATGTAATCATGATATCTACATCATCGTTTAGTAGCTAGAATTAAGCAGGTTAATGCGAATACACACCTGCCATTCAATAGTGGATACTTAATAAATAATGAATCAGATCATCTATTTTTTAAAATGTCTACATGTTAGATACAATCTTAAGCCTTTCAAATAAAATGCAGTAGAAAAACACTAAGATAGTAATTATGTAATGTCACATAATATAATTATGCATAATTGTTAATGTTTATTTTATGTCAGAACTGGCTGGCATCTCATACTAGTATCTCCTTTTTTTACAAGACAGCTTTGAAATATTGCTGCTCAAATAAATTAACATTTTCATTTCAGTGGGCAAATCAGTTAGGGCCTGCAAGTTATTCCAATGCACAGGTTGTTCCACATAACCTGATAATAGAAAGAAATAAAATGAACTTTTATGTCTCCGCCAGAAATTTTGAAGAGCTAGTCATTTTTTTATTTTACTTGTTTTAAAAGATATATTATCTGACTCAAACCAGGCACTGTATTTTATGACTGAATTAGCAGATTAAAGAGGAGAATGTACAGAACATGAAAAGTTTGAGGATTCAGAAAAGAGTTGGAGTATATGAAGATAATAATATGGCACAAGATTTTTTACATTTGTAGACGTTTTATTCAAGAATAAAATATATATAAAAAGTACAGAATTGATTTGTGTGGAGCTCAATAATTTTTATATAAAGTAAATGCTCCCATTGATCTGCACTTTTGAGACCAACCATATGTGCCATCCCAGCCACTAATTCCTCCCACAGGCAAAAACTAATGCAACTACATCCCTGGAGATGAGATTTCCCTCACTGGGACTTTATACAAATGGGGTTACATACAGTGTGTGGTCTTTTGTGTCCGACTTGTCTTACTCTATTTTGCATTTGTGTGATTCATTCTTGTTAAATGGTACATATAATAGTAATTCTTTCTTTTTCATTTATGTATAGTCTTTATAGAATAAATATTCCACAGTTCATATATCCAATCTAAAGGGGCATTTGGTTTGTTTCCAATCTGCAGCTATTGCAAGTAATGATGCTATGAATATTCTTGTATGTATCTCTTGTTCATATTTGTGTGAAGCATTTTTGATAGTTTTTATCTACAGGATTCCTGGGTAAAGGGAAAGTGGATGTTCTGCATTAATAAATACCACTAAAGTGTTTTCCAAATTGGCTACTCCACTTTTCACTCTCATGCATAGTTTTTGGAAGTTTCTGTTGTTTCATAAATTTGTCAACATTTGATATGTCCTGCACATGGATTTTTATAGCAGCTTTATTCATAATTGCCAAAACTTGGAAATGTCAAACAAGATGTCCTTCAGTAGGTGAGTGGATAAATAAACTGTGGTAAATCCAGATGATTAAATGTTACACACCACTACAAAGAAATGAGCCATGAAGCCATTGAAAGACATGGAGGACTCGAAAACATAAAGTAGGGAAAGGACACCCTTTTCAACAAATGGTGCTGGGATAATTGGCTAGCCACATGTAGGAGAAAGAAACTGGATCCTCATCTCTCACCTTATACAAAAATCGACTAAGATGGATTAAGGACTTAAACCTAAGACCTGAAACTATAAAAATTCTAGAAGATAACATTGGAAAACCCCTTCTAGATATTGGCTCAGGCAAGGATTTCATGATCAAAAACCCAAAAGCAAATGCAATAAAACACAAAGATAAATAGCGGGGACCTAATTAAACTAAAAAGCTTTTGCACAGCAAAAGGAATAGTCAGCAGAGTAAACAGACAACCCACAGAGTGGGAGAAAATCTTCACAGTCTATATATCTGACAAAGGACTGATATCCAGAATCTGCAACAAACTTAAACAAATCCTTAAGAAAAAAACAAACAATCCCGTCAAAAAGTGGGCTAAAGACAGGAACAGATAATTCTCATAAGAAGATATACAAATGGCCAACAGACATATGAAAAAATGGTCGACATCACTAATGATCAGGGAAATGCAAATCAAAACCACAATGCGATACCCCGTACTCCTGCAAGAATGGCCATAATCAAAAAATCAAAAAACAGTAGATGCTGGCATGGATCTAGTAATCAGGCAACACTTCTACACTGCTGGTAGGAATGTAAACTAGTATAGCCACTATGGAAAACAGTGTGGAGATTCCTTAAAGAACCAAAAGTAGAACTACCATTTGATCCAGCAATCCCACTATTGGGTATCTACCCAGAGGAAAAGAAGTCATTATTTGAAAAAGATACTTGAACACAAATGTTTACAGCAGCACAATTCACAATTGCAAAATCATGAAGCCAACCCAAATGCCCACCAATCAACGAGTGAATAAAGAAACTGATGTTTCTTTATACTCCTCAGCCATAAAAAGGAATGAATCAACAGCATTTGCAATCATCTGGATGAGATCGGAGACTATTACTCTAAGAGAAGTAACTCAGGAATGGAAAACCAAACATCATACATTCTTACCGATATGTGGGAGCTAATCTATGAGGATGCAAAGGCATAAGAATGATACAATGGACTTTGGGGACTTGGGGGGAAGAATGGGAGGGGGACGAGGGATAAAAGACAACACAGATGGTGCAGTGTATGCTGCTCGAGTGATGAGCATACCAGGATCTCACAAATCACCACTAAAGAACTTATGTAACCAAATGCCACTTGTACCCCAATAACTTCTGGAAAAATAAAATAATAATAAAAAATAAAAGACATGGAGGAAACTTAAATGCATATTACTGAGTGAAAGAAGTCAACGTGAAGAGGCTACATACTATGTGATTCTAACTATATGACATTTTGGAAAAGGCAAAACTAAGGAGACAGTAAAAAGGTCAGTGGTTGCCAAGGGTTTTATATATATTAATCATAGCCATCTGGTGGTTGTGTCGTGGTGTCTCATTGTGATTTTAACTTAACTGAATGGATATGGGTCTATTTATGACATCCCTTTTCAATTCTGTTTACCCATATTGTTTTTCTTGTGCCAGTACCAAAATGTCTTATTTATTGTAGCTTTACAGTATGTCTTGAAATCTGGTTAAATTCTCCAAATTGGTTCAAGGTTTTCTTGGACATTATTGGCATTTCCATATATATGAGGTAGAGTTACCTTGTCAAATTCTAAACGTACATAAATGCACATATATTCACAAACTTTGCTGAGTAATTAAATCTATAAATCAATTTGGGAATAATTACAATGTTACCTTTTAACTTATAAACATGAGATATCAATCTATTTATTTAGGTCTTCTTTGCTCATCCTTGTTTTCATTTGTCCCTGGAAATCTGATTAATTTCAGATAAGATTTTTAAAAATTGTATAATTTACAAATTGTAAAATTGTATAATTTTTATAATTTCATGTTTTTATTTTTGTCACAATATGTAGAATTATAATTTATTATGTTTTACTATTTCTCTGTATCTAGTGACATTGCTCAACTAACTTAAATCTAAAAGTTTATTTATTGGCTGTATTATATTTTTTATACATACCATCTTGGACTATGATCACTTAATTTTTTCCTTTTAAATTATTATATATTATATTTCCTTTTCATCATATATTGCACTAGTTGAGACATTTAGTGTAATGATAAAAAGAAGTTGGGATCACAAGACACCTTTGTCTTGTTCCCATTTTCAAGATTAATATTTCAATATTTCATCATGTATGTATGGTATTTGTTGGAGTGTTTTTGTAGCCACTTTGAATTAAAGATATTGCTTTTTATCTCTAAGTTGAAAATATTTTTATATAAAGAAACATTTAATTGCATTAAAGTATATCTCTATATCTATCGAGACAATCATATGTTTTCTACCTATTTGTTGTTATGTGATAAATTAAATTAATTATATTGGGTTTTTTTGCATCATTGCTGTTTTATAGAACAGCTTTATTATGATTAACTATACATACCCTAAAATTTACCCTTTCAGAATATACAATTCAATAGTTGTGCAACCATCACCACATTAATTTTAGGATAATTTGTATCACCCCAATAAGAAATCCCACACCCCATTAGCAGTCACTCTCCATTTCCCACCAACCCACACAAGCATAGGCAATCACTAAGCTACTCTATCTCTATAGAGTTGCCCATTCTGGGTATTGCATATAAATGGAATCACACAACATGTGGCCTTTTTCTACTCTCTTATTTCACTTAGCATAATGTTTGTAAGACTCATGCATGTTGTAGCATGTATTGGTACTTCATTCTTTATAACCAAATAATATTCTTTTTATGGAAATGCTGCCTTTTATTTTTCCATTCGTCTGTTGAAAAGTTGTTTTCACTTTCTGACTATTGCGAATAATGCTACTATGAACATTAGTATAGAGGTATCCAAATTTCTGTTTTCAATTCTCGTGGATATATATCTGGGGGTAGAAATTCTGAATCACATAACTCTATGTACATCTTTTTGAAGATCTGCCAAACCATTTTCCAATGGAGGATACTATTTTCCTTTCCCACAAGAGTGAGGAATAAGCATTCCATTATCTCTATATTCTCACCAGTACATGTTAGCTATAGTCTTTTTGATTATAATCATCACAGTGCCCGAGAAGTAACTCACTGTGCTTTGATTTGCATGTCCCTAGTGACTAATGATGCTGAGCATCTTTTTTATATTGACTGGCCATTTGTATATCTTCCTTGCAGAAATAATTATTCAAATACTTTTTGCATTTTTAAAAAATTGGATTTTTACTGTTGAGCTGTCAGCATTCTCTATATATTCTAGATATGTCCTTTTTCAGATATATCATTTCAAATATTTTCTCCCATTGTGGATTGTAGTTCCCTTTACTGATAGTGTCCTTTGAAGCATAAAAGTTATTCATTTTGACCGAGGCCAGTGTATCTAGTTTTTCTTTTGTCACCACCTTTGGTGGTGGGATTATACGTAAGAAGACTTTGCCAAATCCACAGTCATCAGGATTTGCTTCTATATTTTCTCTTGAGAATTTTATAGTTTTAATTTTAAATTTGGGCCTATGATTTCATTTTCAGTTAATTTTTGTGTATAGTATTAGGAAAGGGTTCAAATTTGATATGGTTTGGCTGTGTCCCCACCCAAATCTCATTTTGAATTCCCATATGTCGTGGGAGGAACCTGGTGGAAAGTGAATGAATTATGGGGGCAGGTCTTTCCTGCACTGTTCTCATGATAGTGAATGAGCCTCACAAGATCTGATGGTTTCAAAAATGGGAGTTTCCTTGCACAAGCTCTCTTTTTGCCTGCTGCCATACATGTAAGATGTGACTTGCTCCTACTTGCCTTCCCCCATGATTGTGAGGCCCCCACAGCCATTTATTGAGGAGTCCAATAAATCTCTTTCTTTTGTGTATTGCTCAGTCTCAGGTATGTCTTTATCAGCAGCATGAAAATGGACTAATACAAAGTTACTTCAAAAATGCATTGTCTGTAAATGTATGGGTTTGTTTCTAGACTGAATTGTATTCTGTTGATCTATATGTCTAGACAATGCAAACATCAATTGGTTTTTTAATGTCAAAATAACCCCACATCTATTGGATAAACCTGGATGGCTGGTGGTGTGTAACGGTTTTTATATCTAACTATTTGATTCACTAATATTTGTTCGGGAAATTTTTTTTACCTATAATCACAAGAGAGATACGCATGTAGTTTATTTTCTTAAAATGTTCTTATATTGTTTGTGTAAATGTTTGCAAGTCTTAAAATAAATGCTGGGATGGGTTTTCTTTTTCTTGATACTCTGGAAGAATCTCTGTATGATTTGTGATGTATCTTTCTTAGGTATTTGGAAGAATTCAAATTTGGATGAATTTCTAAAACTGGTAATTTAGGTCTTGCATTAGTCAGAATTCTCTAGAGAAACAGAATAAACAGGATTGTGTGTGTTTATATACATATATGTATAACAATTATATGTAAAATTGCCAATTTTAGAAATAAAAAGGAGACATTTTCTGTATATATACATATGTATGTGTGTGTATATATATGTATAGAGAGAGAGAGGAAGAGAGAGAATAAGAAATTAATTTATTTTGAAGAGCTGTCTTACACAAATGTGGGGACTGGGAAAGTCTAAAATCTGCAGGACAGGCCAGCAGGCTGGAAAGCAAGGCAGAGCCAACCTTGCAGTTGGAGTCTAAAGACCTTCTGGAGGCAGAATTCCCTCTTCCTTAGAGGACTTTTGTCTTTTTATCTTAAGGCCTCAGCTGAATAAATGAGGCCCAGCCATGTTATGAGCAGTAATGTGCTTTACTCAAAGAATACTTATTTGAATGTCAATCTCATCTTTGACTTATCTTCACAGCAATATTTAGACCAGTGTTAGAGCAAATATCTGGGTCTCAGGGCCCTACTAAGCTGATACAAAAAATTAGCCACCAGAGGTCTTATCTTTTTTTCACTTTTTCAATATTAACAGAAATTTAGTAATATTTCGGTCTTTTCAAAGTAATTATTCAGTTTGTCAATTTTATTTTTATGATCATTTCTTACTTTGCTAATATCTGTTCTCTTTTGACTACTTTTCATTCTTCTACATTTTTTAAGTTAATTTGAGACTATTTTTTGGCTTCTTAGTATAGATACTTGAAACATAAATTTTTAGTCTTTCTTTTTTCTAATATATGTATTTAATGCTACAAGTGGCTCTCTATGCACATATACATACCCTACACTTTTGGGTGCACCCCACATGGTTAATATATATCATTTTAAATTGTATTTTCTTCAAAATATTTTCTAATTGCCATTGAGATGTTTGCTTTGACCCAAGCATTATTTAGGATCACATTGGTTAACCTCCAAACATTATCGGTAATTTCTTCCTAGGTTTCTATTTATATATTTTGCATGTTACTGGTATTTAAAGTTTGTCTGACAAAGGCCTGCAGGCTGCAGCCCATCCCGGGGGGCCCTGGGTGGAGACAATGGCCTCTGAGTGAGAACCAAAGAGCACAGGACTGAGCAGGCTGTTGTTCATAAGTGGCATAGAAAAGCCAATAGTGCCTCGAATAGAGCCATGGGAAACTCCCGTTTTGAAATAAAAAACCACAGGAAAGTACATTAGATTTTGTTGTAGGTCAAGCAGCTCACAAGCCAACTGAACTAGATCTTATGCTACTCCTAGAAACCATGGTCGTATTTGTCTTTGAAAAATCATGTTTGAATGGTAGTTCACTTACAGATAGCCAGATATCAGAACGTATAATTTACCTACAAGGGAAACAAAATCTTTTGTAGGATTTCCCTGATCTGTCAAGGAATACAATTAACATGCTCAGTACTGAAAACTTAAACAAACAAACAACAAAAAAAATGAGGCATAGGCCAACATACTATAATCTAGCAGTATGCCTCTTATTTAAATAAAGTCAATGCATAACATTTTTTTAGAAAGGTAGTTAGACAAATGACTTGGCCAGGTCACAGACAAGTATTAGTGATACCCATCTATTTCTCTTCTTTCTAAAAAAAGATGAGAGGGTTGCCTGGATCTTCCATTGCACTAGAAACCTTTTAGCATCTCTCGTGATAGAAAGGCCCCCAGCCTAAGAAAGAGATAAACTTCTGATACACAGCTCTGGACATATCCCTAAAATTCTCTAATCATATATCTCAGATGGAAAGACCCTTAAAGTCCTTTTTAGCTCTAAACCTCTGTGATATGAATGCTATCTCAACATAGCTTATCACATTTTTATATACACATCAAGTTGAAACAGCAAGAAACCATACATTTACTGTGCCTAGGCATCAATTTCAAAGGGTTCGAATTCTGGCCAAAAGCAGTTTTTGAGATTCTGGAATATGCAGATATAATAGACACATATAAGTAAATATGACACAGTTAAAACAACAAAATTCCTACGTTTAACTTCCATAGGAAATGCTGATAAGAAAAACCAGCTGGCAACCATAGAGTTATGAGGACTTTTGATTAACCAGAAAAACATTGTGAAATTGTCTTAGCACAGGATAAACATGGAGAAAGTAAGTTCTTAGTGCCACACACATGCAAATGCAAGGGGCAATTTCAAGGGCAGGAAGACAACTCTGTCTTGTGACTTCTGTGACTGTTAGTAGGAATTAGTGGCCAATGCCCTAGATGTTAAAGCAATAAGATATTTACTTAAAATTATGAACTCCACAAATTGCTGTGCTGACAGAAAGAAGAATTATCAGCTGTTAATAAAATTTTTTTAAAGAAAACGAACCATTCAACATTAATCATATAGATTACTGTGGGATTGTAGAAAGAACTCAATGACACCAAACCAGACGGCAGAGAAAGGGCTAGAAATCAGGCGATGGCAGAATCTTGCCCCATGAATAAGGTTTACAAGGAATCCCATTTCTAGTGAAGAGAGTTTGCAGTCATTTCAAGAGCTATCCATGGTTTTATTTGCATGATAATAGTAATCTTTTGTAGATAGCTGTGCTCCTATATTCACATTTAAGCATGTATCTATATCCATCTTGGCCATCCACAAGCATCAGTTACTTCAAAATAATTTTTAAGTTGACAGTTAAAGGGCCACTTTGGATATTTTTATCTGACGAAACCAAAGCCAACATTTGCATTAAAACTTGTACCCAGAATAGGCAGAGCAGGTAAACACTATCTTACAAGAAAGGCCTGCAACGAGGCAGTTCCGGTCTTGAAAGCCACACACGTTGTTACACAGGGTTCTTCTAAGCAATGAGAAAGGGACCAAGATGCAAAAGTTATATTCCTCTCTACTAGTAGGGAGAGAGGATAAGTCATAGATAAAATTTAAGATAACATTAAGATTAAATGACAAATATGTTATCAGAAAGGTCAAAAAACTAAACCCAATTTATCAGTGCAGTATATTGATCAGTTTCTATCTGAAACCAGACACCTCTATTCTTTGGAGAGGGAGAATTCAACATAAAGAATCAACCTAAGAGTTGTTAAATAGGAAGTGAAAATGCAAGAGAAGAGCGCTAACAAACTGTGGAGGTCACAACTGCAGAAAAACAGCTGCCACTCCTGGAGCTGGGAAAGAAAGGGAAGAGGCTGGCACGATTAAAACTTAGAAGCTTAGAAGAGGGGCTTCTTGGGTGCGACCCAGAGCTCTGGGGAAGGAGCTGCTGGTGCTGAAAAAACTGGAAGACTGCCCAAACTACCGCCAATGCAGGACAGGCAAGTCCCTAATTGGGATTTAGCTTACCGATGGTTCTGGGCTTTTCCCAGGAAAGAATTCAATGGCCAGCCAGTAGTAGGGCAGAAAAAAATCAGCTTTCTTGAAGAGTCCGTTTACAGCACCAGCGGTGTTACAGCCCCATGGTGGCTCCTGCAGAGCAAGGCTACCCCAGAGGTAGTGTGCTGAGAGAAGCAGCTCAGGGCAGAGTTGCGGTCATATTTATACTTATTTTTAATTACACGTAGGTTAAGGGGCAGTTTACGCAGAAATTTATAAGAAAAGGGTGGTAGTTTTTGGGTCATTGGGTCATTCCCAAGCAAAGAAGTAGTAACTCCTGGGTGTTGCCATGGCAATGGGAAACTCACATGGCGCACTGGTGGGCGTGTCTTTTGGAAAGCTGCTTCCACCCCACCCTTGTTTTAGCTAGTCCTCAATTTGATCTGGTGTCCAAGCTCTGCCTCTGGAGTGGAGTCCCGCCTCCTACCTCACTGCTACAAGAAGGAACTTTTGCTGCTTCAGGGAGGCTGTCCTGCTGAGTGAATTTCACAGGAGCGGTAAGCCCACAGGAAGCAGAGGACAGACAAGAAGTAGCAAGTCCCTGCTCCCTCCTCAGCCTTTCAATTCCCCTATAGATCTGGTCTTGGCGGAGCCTCACAGGGAGCAGATGGGAAAGCAGGGATGTGGTTTGCACAGTCTCAGCCTCGAGGTAACAGAGCAAAGGATAGGAAGGTAAAGATAAGAGACAAGGACCTTATGACTAACACTCAGAGGAATGAGGAAAAGGAACTGGGTCATGATATGATTTAAGGTCTGAAAAATATAGAAGTCAAGAGCAGATTGATTTGAAATAACAAAAAGCATTTTTTTTTTCAGATGGAGTCTTACTCTATCACCCAGGCTGGGGTGCAGTGGCATGACCTCAGCTCACTGCAACCTCTGCCTCCTGGGTTCAAGCGATTCTTCTGCCTCAGCCTCCCGAGTAGCTGGGACTACAGGCGCCTGCCACCACACCTGGCTGATTTTTGTATTTTTTAGTAGAGACGAGGTTTCACCATGTTGGCCAGGCTGGTCTCGAACTTCTGACCTCAAGTGATCCGCCCACCTTGGCCTCCCAAAGTGTTGGGTTTACAGGCATGAGCCACCACGCCAGGCCAAAGCAAACTTTTGGATGACTTTTCAGACTGGCAGAGTGGCAACTGGAATATGATCATTCAGTATTCTCCTAAAATATCATTTTAACAACAGATTATCATTTCATATACAGATATGCCAAAATCAGTGTGACCATCGTTTCCATTGCTCACCTCACCAGCATTGCTGCCTTGAAGACCTCTGGACCTAGGTCATCGTGTGCACCCCTGTTACTTTATTAAGACTAGAGTAGAACTGCTAAATTAAATGATGTCAATGTTTCTTTGAAAATGTGTATACAAATGTCAAATTCTCTCTAATAGGTTTTGAAAATTGTCTCCAAAGTTTTGAAATATTTTTTCCTATTGGAAGTATGTAAGATGCTTATTTTAAAATTGTCCATTTAGAAAGTTTCTTTTCTGATGAATAATAAAATGTGAAATGTATATACAATGGAATATTATTCAGCCTTTAAAAAGAAGGAAATACTGACATATACTACAACATGGATGAGCCTGGAAGACATTATGTTAAGTGAAATAAGACAGGCACAGAAAGACATATACTGCATGATTTCACTTATATGTGGAAGCTAAAAAGTTGAATTCCTAAAAGTGGAGAACAGAAGAGTGGATACCAGAGGCTGGGTATGGAGTGGGTAACCAGGGAGATGTTGTTCAAAGGACATAAAATGTCAATTAGAGGAGGAATAAGTTCAACCGATCTATTGTATGCCACGGTGACTATAGTTAATAACAATATATTGTATCCTTGAAATCATTAAGAGCATAGATTTGAAGTATTCTTAACACAAAAAAGTATGCGAGATAATGCATTTGCTAATTAGCACTGTTTAGTCATTCCACAATGTATACATATTTCAAAACATCATGTTGTACACAATAAATATATACAACTTTTGTCAACTAAAAACTATTTTAAAAAAAGAAAAGAAAAAATCCTTTTCTGTATCAAAATACTTTATTTTTGTGACAGTTTGATACTTTTTCTCCAGCAATTATTCTTTGTAACAGTTTACCCACTGACAGACTTTTTAAATTCCTGGTTATTCCTGAGTAATTTATGCAGTGAAAATATTTCTTTTAATCAAAACAAAGATATTTGTCCTCCGAATTGTATTTTCAAAGAAGCAACCATTTTTTGAACTAAATATATTTTATTTAAAGTTCTAGTCGAGCAGCTTTACAGTACCTAACAAAATTCCACCACAGAATGAACGCATAACACACATTGAACAATTAATATATTTGAATATTCTCCAAAAAACCAAAACAAACAAACAAAAAAGGTTTTCTTGACTAGGAAAAGGCCATCTCTGACACCACTTCTGGGCTTCAAAATTGAGATTGCAGAGCTCTGTTAATCCCTCAACATTTGGGCAGAATTGGTAAAGATTTGCTTTGGATTTTTTTTTTCTTTTCTTTTCTTTTCTTTTCTTTTTTTTCTTTTTTGAGACAGGGTCTCACTGTGTTGCCCAGGCTTGAGTTCAGTGGAGCAGTAGAGTGATCATGGCTCACTGCAGCCTTGAACACCTGGGCTCAGGCAATCTACCTGCTCCAGCCTCCCAAGTATCTGGGACTACAGGTGTGCTCCACCATGCCCAGCTGTTATTTATTTATTTGTCTCACTATGTTGTCCAGGCTAATCTGGTACTCCTGGGTTCAGTGATCCTCCTACCTTGGCCTCCCAAAGTGCTGGGATTACAGGTGTGAGCCACCACACTTGGCCTGATTTGTGTTTTTTAAGGTTCTTACCTTTAAAAATGTATGCCATAAAACATAAAAATATGACCTTTATAATTCAGTTTTGAATATTTACCGCTTAAAGTTCCAGTTCCAGTATAAATTACACTAAAATGTGTAAAAATATAACTAAGTAGAAATATTTACATCAAATATAGCAGATAAAATATTACTTACTACAACATTTAGATAACCACATTGAAATGAAGAAAAATGTATACCCTGTTAGACAAGATGACAGAAGATATCAAATCAGCAAACAATGTTAAACTATTTGGAACTCTCTATTCTCACTAATAATATATTTCAAATTAGTAAATTTTATTTTTTAATTATGTGAACTTTGTAAGGATTAATTACAAAAAATGATCGTTTATAATAGTACTTAAATGCTGGCAACATGTGATGATAGGAATATATACTTATGCTTCTAGTGACAGTTTAATTTGGTCATATTTTCAAAGGCATAATAATAAAAGTAAAAATTCTCCATTGTAACATTTTCTAGGTATCCCAATCTTCTACCTCCATAATCATATGCTTAGAAATTTTTCTTAATATCAAGAAGCAAAACCTTATTTCAGCGTCATCTAAATGGAACCGAAAAAAGGGAAAATCTTATATATCCTGTAATTAAGTCTAATGATCTGATGAAGCAGGAGGCATTTCTAAAGATAGACTTCCATGCATTACATACTCATTATATTCACTGTGATAAGTGAATCAAATTATGTCTACTCTAATGTTGTACAGCTTCGAATTTTTTTTTACATCTATACAAGAACAGAAAGAGAATATAAAAATATGTTTAAGATAGCAGTAGGGTGTGTTTTCTTTTGTACAGAAATGTCTTTAATAATCATATTATATAGTGCTTTTCAATGAAACCCCAGTGTGGAAAATCAGCCAGCACGTTTACCCAGTTGAGTTCTGTCCTATACAGGTACTACCTGCCTCCTTCACCAAAGATGAAATGCTGTTAGGCTGAGAGGTTACAACCTGGCTGGTGGCTTTTCAGAGGGAGGAAAACTGTTTCCCTTTGAACCTGCACAAATTTTTGGGTCAAGCGACTTAATTAGTGCTTGCTTTTCCTAAATTGCTTGTGCAGAAATCCACAAAGTTTATAATGCAAGCCAGGAAATTGATTCAAACACAGATTGTTCTGGTAGGCGCCAATAAAAGTTCCTGTCCGAGTCACGAGATTTAAACTGTACAGAAGTGGTGCCACAGAGTCTGAGAAAAGACAGCCTCATTTTATTAGTAGGATCAAGGATACCACCCTACCTTTATTTAAAGTGCTACCGTATGTTGTAGATAATATGATAAACTAAAACTAACAATCTAGCTTTATTGTCAGGCCACTAATAGGAATTAGGAAGTCCAAAGAATCCTTTTCCCAGAACAAACTTGTAAATTAGTTTTCTAACATAAAAGTCTGCATGCGCCTTTATTTTTTGCTTTTCCAGTGCATCAGAATGACTCCTCTGTGCTCTTTCTACTCCTAAATCTCTGAATTTTATTTTCAAGAATAGTTTTGGATGGATTTTCTTGCTGTGGGTCTCATGTTTATTGGTTGCTATGGGTTCTTCAAAGACTATGTTTCAATTAGGTTAATTATCAGGCACTACTCCCTCTGCACGAAGGCTCTTAGTTTACGATACTGAAATAGGTTTTAGTTTACAATGCTGAAGTAGACATAGATAGCAGCACTAGTGGGTAGATCAGGTGAATTATCTGCGGTCATTCACTTATTAAACATGACTTCTCTGGAGTTGGATCATAGCTAGGCAGAATATAAACATCTAGAATGTTAAGGACCACTCATTTGCTGTTCAAGGAACATGTGGCTCAAGGAAAAAAAGAACATAATATCCAAAATTACATGATCTGAACTGCCTCAACAGAAAACTCTCTGTTCCACCCCAAGTCGTAATCTCTCTGAGCCTACTTACTCACCTATAAGTGATAGTGACAAAGTACAATTTCAAAACATGCTTTTCAAGAAGAAATTCCCAGTAGTGTGGCGAGGCCAAGGCAGGAGGATCACTTGAGTCTGGGAGTTCAAGCCTGGGCAACATGGCAAAACAGCATTTCTACAAAAAATTTTAATAATTAGTCCAGTGTGGTGGTGTGTGCCTGTAGTCCCAGCTACTTGGGAGGCTGAGAGGGGAGGATCCCTTGAGTCTGGGATGTCAAGGTTGAAATGGCCCAAGGTCTCACCACTGCACTCCAGCCTAGGTAACAGAGTAAAACCTTGTCTCAAAAATAAATAAATAAATAAGGTGTTTTTTTTGTGTACAACAAGCAATTATCCTGTGCTTTTTTGTCACACGACTGAAACTATTTGAAGTCCAAAACTTTATGCCACTAGTCAGATAGATTTTGTTTTTATCTTGTTCTTTTGCTAACACAACAGTGCAGTGTGCTTGGGGTCCTGATTCCTGCCTGTTCTTTACAATCACTCACTCCAGCCACACACAAAGGAGAGGAGGACATCTTCAGCCTGTGCATACCTTTCAGGGGATGACTAGCCAGAAGAAATAGCAGCATGGGGTGACAAATACTTATTTTGCTTGTTTGCTTTTTGGCTGCCTGAGATCTGTTTGCATGATGTTCCTCATGCTTCTTGATGAAAGGAAGAGTTGGCCTGCCACTGAAATGATAAAATCAGAGAACACGCTCCTTCTCAGATGCTATCGCTGGTCAGTGACCCAGACTGGCGAGACAGCTATTTGGGAAGCCAGTGAGTGGAAGGCCAGAGGAAAGGATCTGAGAGAGCAGCGGTGGTTCTGTGGGATAGCAGCTGCCATCATGATCATACTGCTCCAACCAGACAAGGCCTGTGCTCAATGTATCTGTCACCTTCCACGCTATTTTGAGAGGTCCCTGGCATACTAATACATGAAGTGCTTTTTTACCTGTTCCATTTTTATAAAATTATATTCCCTTTAAAAGAAATAATGTTTATCGAGATATAATTCACATGGCGTAAAATTTACTTTTAAAAACATACAATTGAGTCTTTTTTTGCATATTCACAAAATTGCGTAACCATCACTACTATCTAATTTCAGAATATTTTGGTCACTCTCCCAAACATCTCATATTCATCAGCAGTTACTCTCCATCCTTTTCATATTGTTTTATCCTTTTTTCTTTCTTTTGCTCAGACTGGAGTATCTCAATTGATCTATCTTCAAGTTCACTGATTTTTCTTTTCTGGCTCACATCTGCCTTTGAGCTTAAGTGAATTTTTCCTTTCATTTATTGTACTTTTCAAATCTAGAATTTCTATTTGTTTCTTTTTTTATAATCTCTACTTCTTTATTGATAATTTTAAGGCACTATACTCACACTTTTCATGAGTTGTTTAGGCATGTTTTCCTTTTGTTCTTTACACATCTACAGGCTGGGCACAGGGACTCACTTGTAACCCCACCACTTTGGGAGGCCACAGTGGGAGGCTCACTGGAGCTCAGGAGTTCGAGACCAGCCTGGGTAGCATAGTGAGACCCATCTCTACAAAAAAAATTTAAAAAATTATCTGGGTGTTATGGTGTACCCATATGGTCCTAGCTACTCAGAAGGCTGAGGTAAGAGGATCACCTGAGCCCAGGAAGTCAAGGCTGCATTGAGCCATGATAGTACCATTGTGCTTCAACCTGGTTAACAGAACAAGAGGCTGTCTCAAAAATAAAATAAAATATAATACAAGAAACATATCTACAATAGATTATTTAAAGTCTTTGTTTAGGCTGGGTGCAGTGGCTCACACCTGTAATCTCAGCACTTTGGAAGGCCAAGGTGGGCAGATCACTTGAGGTCAGGAGTTTGAGACCAGCCTGGCCAATATGGTGAAACCCCATCTCTACTAAAAATACAAAAGTTAGCCTGACATGGTGGCACACACCTGTAGTCCCAGCTACTTGGGAGGCTGATGCAAGAGAATTGCTTGAATCCAGGAAACAGACATTGCAGTGAGCCAAGGTCACACCATTGCACTCTAGCCTGGGTGTCACAGCAAGTCTCTGTCTCAAATAAATAAATAAATAAATAAATAATAAAGTTTTTGTTTAGTAAATTCAATATCTTAACTTCCTTGAGGACAGTTTTTATTGACTGCATTTTTTTTCCTGTGTATATGCCATACTTTCTCATTTCTTTGCATTTACTATAATTTTGTAAAAACCGGACATTTCAAATAATATAATGTGGTAACTCTTGAAAGGAGACCCCTCCCCATGTCCAGGATTGTTTTTGTTGTGTTGTTTTGTTTAGTGATTTGCCTGAACTAGTTCTATAAAGTTTGTTGTAGTTGTTTGTTCTCACACTGCTATAAAGAACTACCTGAGAGTGGATGATTTATGAAGAAAAGAGTTGTTTACTTATAACTTGTGTATTTATTATATACAAGTTGTATATTTATTATAAAGAAAAGAGAAAATTGACCACAGTTCCACAGGCTATACAGGAAGCATGGCTGGGAAGCCTCAGGAAACTTACAATCATGGCAGAAGATGAAGGGGAAGCAAGCACACTTTACTATTGGGGAGCAGGAAAGATAAAGAGAAGGGGGAAGTGCCACACACTTTTAAACAACCAGATCTTGGGAGAACTCCATCATGAGAACAGCAAGGGGTAAGTCCACTCCCAAGATTCAATCACCTCCCACCAGGCCACTCCTTTAACACATGGGTATTACAATTTAACATGAGATCTGGGTGGTGACAGAGAGCCAAACTGTATCATTTGTATTCTTTGTCATGTGTGGTCACTGAAGTTTCTGCTCAATTAGCTTAGATGCAATCTCATGATTGAACAAAGATTTTCTTAAATAGCTCGAACCAATGTCTCCTGAATAGCCTTTGTTGAGAGGCTCTGCATGCATGCTATAGCATGTCTTCAATCCTGACAGGCATTGCATGGCTATGTCTTAGCCTAAGCTTCTTGCTTGTCCAGAGCCTCAAGGTAAGCCAGAGTTGAGAGATTAGGGGCATCTCAATTTTTTCCTCAGCATGCACAAGTCTTCTACATGCACATGGCTTTTTCAATTCCCAGGAACATGTTTAGGCTTTGTAAAGCCCCTTGAATACTTCTCTTTCTACAGGTTTTTGACCTGCATATCAACACTGCCTCAGGCTTATGCAATGTTAAATAATGCCACTGATTGTTTTTGACAGTCAGATAAGTCAAATATTGACAATCATCTTGAGATGAAGCTTTGGGATGCTCCAATCCTGTTTTGTTCCCCCCAATAGATGCTCAGGGCTCATTTTCATGGCTACTGTGATTATGATGCTATCAGGTTTAAATGCTCTCCTGTAGTTTAGAGAAGGTCACAGGAATAGGGCAAGTTAAACAATGCCACATAGCTCTCTGTTCTTACTGATATTCATACAGTTTTCTTGAATAGGCACTCCTTGGGTTGTTGCAAGTTTTGGTCAAGTTTCAGAGTTCTGAAAATATTGATTTTGACAATTTTTTTGCCAGTATTCTTGTTGCTTTTATAGATAAGTGGGTTTCTGGAAGTCCTTGCTCTACTGTTCTGGAAGTGACCAGAACAATCATTTTCTAATGTTTGCAAATAAGAATCCTGCCTGAGACATCATAGATGGATATGAACATTTAAATGATTGATTTAGCCCAATCGGGAAACAGCTATTTTCAGAGAGCTATAATCTCCCCATCTCCTCAACATAAAGCAAGAACTTTATATAAATTTAAACCTATATAGAGAGAGTTAGGTATCTTTTCAAAAAATTCTGTTTTTGTTTTTATGAGTAAGAACTCTATACGATTTACTACATATTCTTGCAATTAGCAAGATATAGAAAATAGATATTGTTGTCTGGTATTAAATCAACTCCTTACTAAGAAACTGCTAATAACCTTTAAACACTGTTTTGACTTTCACAGAACTTGTCACAACATATAATAATATTAGATGAAACACATGACTTTGCTGTATTTGAAATTCAAAAGTGATTTAATATCAGCAATTTTATGCAAATCAACATAATATAAATACTTCAACATATAAACTGCATGTTCATCCACTAGATTTTACACAATTATTTACTGTTTTCCTCACTATGTTCAAGGAGCTTAACTTTCTGACAAAGAGTTATCAGTAAATAAAAATTGAGTAAGCTACAATGTGTGAGAGCTGGAAGAGGGAAAATGGGATGAAAATTGGAAAAATTCTATAAGCCAATTAAAAAAGTATAGTTTATTTTTACACAAAAGTGAATTTGTCTTTTACTTTATTTTGAGGGCATTATATGTTTGTAAATATGATAATGACAGAGTTCTTTTTATGCTTTAGGAAATAAAAGGAGGCAGGGGGAAAAGACCAGTTACGTGAAAACTCTTTTAAGAAAAAATGGAAGTAAGTGAACGAAGAACCTAGACCCAGAGACAGAAAATAAGGAAAACTAGAACATGGGCTTTAAAACGGTATTGACAACACTGTCAGAAGACACAGGACAAGTAGGACTTCATTGAAAGGAGTTTATTAGATTGAGCAATGAAGTTTTTGGTACCTTGGTTGAAAGTAGATTCAGTGCATTGATAGGGGAATAATCCTGAGAGTGGGCCTTAATCAGGTGATTCATGGGTATGTGTGGAAGCCAGGAGTCTTCTGGGCCTGGTCCTAGTAAAAAGCAAAACAGATAATAGTGGATTGAATGAACTCATGGATTCTTCTTTTTCTAGACTATTACGGTTATAAAGTTCTATGATAAAATGCTTTGTTAAATTTTTTATGCTTATTTGTGGAATTATATCAATTCTTCTCGTCCTTCATTTGAATATAGATCACCCTAAGAATTTTGTAAAAACTATGGAACCTGCTATAGACTGAGTATCTGTGTGCCCCAACCTCATAATTCACGTATTGAAACCTAATCTGTAATGTGAAAATATTTGGAAGCAGGTCTTTTAGGAAGTGATTAGGTCATGAGGATGAAGCCCTTATGAATGGTATTAGTGCCCTTATGAAAGAGGCCCTAAAGAGCTGCCTGATTTCTTCTGCCTTGTGAGGATACAGTGAGAAGGCACCATCTGTGAGCAAGGAAGCAAACCCTCACCAGAGACCATATCTGCCAGCATCTTGATCATGGACTGCCAGACTCCAGAAATGTGAGAAATAAATCCATATTGTTTTTTAGCCACCCAGCCTGTGGGATTCTGTTACAGCCATGTGAAGACTAAGACAGAACCTCACTGCCCCCAAATGCAGGTTATTAGACATTCATAGACCTCAGGTTAAAAACTGATGGATTAAAATAATTGAAAAATGTGGTGATTAGTTGATAGCCATTGTTGTTATGTGAGATCTCTTCTTAAATCTTCTTTTCTTCGCAGTGGGATAGAGTGCTACAAGAAAATAGCATTCTAATTTCATTCAGTGGAAAGTCATATCTCGGAACTGTTCTAATCTTTCCATATTATCTTCATAGCTTTTCAATATATTTTTGTTGTCTATTTTGTTTATATGTGTCACTTTAATCTTTGAATTGTTAATTGCAATGTTCATTTATTTAATGATTAATACAATTAATTATAATTTATAATACAAAAAAATTGTACAATAAAGAAGGAAAATATAATTTATTTACTTCTTCTCCTTGCCATATTTCCCATTAAAATCTCCACAACTTTCACATAAATCTCTGCTTTCATTAAAATTTCCACAACTTTCACATAAATCTCTGCTTTCTTTAAAATCTCCACAACTTTCACATAAATCCCAGCTTATGGCATTTTTTATTTCAAAGTTTTTATTACCAACTCAGATGAAAGTTTATTATATAGCTTATTTTAAAAGTATCTCTGTTTTCACTCTTGTTCCTTCAAAGGTCTCCACACTAGCTATCATTTCATTCACTATCATTTATATATACATGTGTGTGTGCATAAATATATAATTATCTAATGGTTTAATCCAACATAAATGACCTTTTTCTTTATTATAGACATATCCCGGATTAGAAGGTGTTCATACATAGTCCATCAGATTTAGAATTAACCTTTGTGGACATCTAATGTACTGTCAACAATTCCTATACAAAGACAACTCTATAACAAGCAATATTCAATAAGATTAATGCTTAAGAGTTATGAAGGTAATGCAAATTGAAGCAAGATTTAAGGCAACTTTTGTAGCCACTAAATGAACGAACATGACGTTTTTGAAATTGTAGTAAAATTGGTACACTTAGGAACCGCTGGAAGCATTATAACAGCACAAACTTTCTGAAAAGTATTAAGAGCTTACATTTGTGGTTAACTCCTTATATTTGTGGTAAATCCACATACCATGTAACATAGGTTACATGTTGATTAATACTTTTCAACAAAGTAATCTTCTCTGTAATTAACTTATTCTAGGCAAACTGTCGCATGTCTAAAGATTATTCACTGTAGTGTCATTTATATTAGCAGAAAACACAGTTTAGTTATATCAGGATTTGGAAGTTTTGTAAATTAAATAGGGAAATAGAATATTATACAAACATTACAATAATTATAGCAACCCATTAAATATTTACCACATTAAATTAGTTGAAAATAAATGTTACTGAAAAGCTAAATTTTAAACACTTAAAACTTTAATGGAAAAAATACACTATAATCTTTTACTTTAAATTGGTACTGAATACTATATCTCACAGATTTACAACAGCAAAACCAACACAACAATTTCTTCTTTAACTACTACATCTATAGAGTTTTCATGGATTTATGTATCTCCCTATAACCAGAAGGAATGAATTTTCTATTCTGAAGACTGAGTCACAGCATGCTGATGGAGAATCGGGCTGTCAATCATTCTGCCTAAGGACAAGTACTCAGAACAAGGCCTGGCTGAGATGCCACAGGACCTCTGTGTAAATTTCTCTAAAAATGTAGGGCATAAATATGAGTCCTCCCTGGTGTTTTCCTGTTTTGGACCATTGTACAGGCCAATGTGGCTCTCCACTCCTGCTAGCATGGCCTCACTCATGCCCCCTCGGTGTGGAGGCTGCTGCACCACATGTTCCATTCACTATAACCACTGCACCTGCTGTGGCCCTGGCTGCATCCAGGAGCTCTGGGTCAGGAATGGTTATGACCGCAGGCACCTTCATGGATCAGAGAAACCATTTCCCAGAATCCCTCCACAGGGTCCACTCTGACACTTTATCTCCTGGACCAAAGCATGTGTGTTTGATTGTGGAGGAGAGTGTTGGGATTAAGGGCCAGGCTGCTCAGGGTCAGTTCTCTGTGGGGCACTAGGAGCTCTATGAAATGGGAAAGGTTTCCTTGTCTCTCTGTACCTTAGTTTCTCCCTTTGCAATATGGAAGTGATAACAGCACCTACCTCCATGACATAGTTTTGATTAGGATTAAATGAGTTAACACCTATAAAGCACTTAGAACTCTGCACTGTGTCATGCAAGTGTTTATGGAAGAAAAGAAGGAAGGGAGATAGGGAGAAAGAGAGAGAAGCAGAGAAGGAGGGAAGATTATTTTCGGCTACTGAATTATAAGAGTCAAACATTCAATCTAGCATTAAAAAGATCTTATATTTTTTAAAAAAAAAATCTAGTAAGACAAACTTAATGGTTTAAAAAAATATGTAATTAGTTGAAAAAATCTAAATATTTATAAAAGACTGACCTAAGAAAAGTGATACACAACGGCTAAAGGTAAACAGATTGACCAATATAAGGAGACAGAGGGAGAAATGAAATGATCATAGATACACCAGGCCAATTTAACCAAAAGCAAAAGAGACAGGCCTTTTCATTTTTAAAGGCAGTGGAATGTAAGATAAAACATATTACCTATGATCGAGTTGCTAAATTTTTAATGAAGTTCCACAATAAAATTATAATGATTTAATTCTTTTCCTGCTAAATAGCATGGCATCACAATTTAGAAAGCAAAGATGGTGAAACGGAAATAATAAGCAAAAGAAGACTTAAAAGTTCTTTAAGTGAAATATAAAATACAGGAAAATAAATGCAGATGTAAAAATAGCATAATTGGCCATGCTGAGGTAATGACAAACATATCCATAGGTACGCACTCTCATTTTTTTTCTTATTTATTTATTGTATGAGAGAGGGCCTTGCTGTGTTGCCCACACTGGTCTCGAACTCCTGGGCTCAATTGAACCTGCTCTCTTGACCTCCCAAAGTGCTGGGATTACAGGTGTGAGCCACCACACTTGGCCTAGATATTCATTCTCAGTGATAGGCCTTGATATGGTTTAGCTGTGTCCCCACCCAAATCTCACTTTGAATTGTAGCTCCCATAATTCCCATGTGTCATGGGAAGGATTCAGTGGGAGATAATTGAATCAAGGGGATGGTTTCCCCCATACTGTTCTCAGGGTAGTAAATAAGTCTCAGGAGACCTGATGACTTTATAAGGGGTTTCCCTTTTCACTTGGCTCTTATTCTCTCTTTTCTGCCACCACGTAAGATGTGCCTTTTGCCTTCCATCATGGTTGTGAGGCCTCCCCAGCCCATGTAGAACTGTGAATTCATTAAACCTCTTTTTCTTTATAAATTGCCTAGTCTCAGGTATGTCTTCATCAGCAGCATGAAAACGGACTAATACAGGCCTTAATATATATTTTTTAAATTTCAACTTTTAGATAAAGGGAACACATGTACAAGTTTGTAAAATGGATATATTGTACTCAGGTAATGAGCAAAGTACCCAACAGGTAGTTTTTCAGCCCAGGCCCCCTCCCTCCTTTCCCCCTTCTGTCCATGTGTGCTCAATGTTTAGCTCCCACTTGAAAGCGAGAACATGCAGTATTTGGTTTGCTGTTCCTGCATTAACTCACTTCGGATTATGGTCTCCAGCTCCATACACATTGCTGCAAAGGATATGATTTTGTTGTTGTCACGGTTATATAGCAGCCCATGGTGTATCTGTACTACATTTTCTTCATCCAGTCCAGCCTTGATGGGCATCTAGGTTGATTCCATGTCTTTGCTATTGTGAATAACATGATGATGAGCATATAAGTGCATGTGTCTTTTTGGTATAATCTATTTTCCTCCGGGTATGTACACAGTAATGGGATTGCTGGGTGGAATGGTAGCTCTGTTTTAAGTTTGTTGAGAAATTTCCTCACTGCTTTCCACAGTGGCTGAACTAATTTACATGCCCATCAGCAATGTATAAGCATTCCCTTTTTTCTACAGCCTCTCCAGCATCTGCTGTTTTTTGACTTTTTAATAAAAACATTCTGACAGGTATGAGATGGTCGCTTGTGTTGGTTTTGATTTGCATTTCTCTGATAACGAGTGGTGATGACCATTTTTTAACATTAATTTGTTGCTTGTGTGTCATCTTTTGAAAAGTGTCTATTCTTATCCTTTGACCATTTTTTAATTTGGTTATTTGTTTTTTGCTCATTGATTTGTTTAAACTCCTCGCAGATTCTGTATATTAGACCTTTGTTGGATGTATAGTTTGTGAGTATTTTCTCCATTCTTTAGGTTGTCTATTTACTCTATCGATAGTTTCTTTTGCTGTGCAGAAGCTCTTTAGTTTCATTAGGTCCCACTTGTCAATTTTTGTTTTTATTGTAATTGCCTTGGGGAACTTAGTCAAAAATTATTTGCCAAGGCCAGTGTTGAGAGGGTATTTCCTAGGTTTTCTTCGAGGATCTGTATAGTTGGAGGTCTTATATTTAAACCTTTAATCCATCTTGAGTTAATTTTTGTATATACTGAAAGGTGAGAATCCAGTTTCATTCTTCTGCATGTGGATAGGCATTAGTAATAATGATGGTTAACAATCTATAGATGAGAAAACTGAGGCTTAAATAACTTGCTTAAAAAATCATACAGATGATAATGGGCAGAGGTGGAATTTAAATCCATTGATAAATGACACAATGCTAACCACAATCCTAGGATAAATGGGAACGAAAAACTGAGCCAACACTGGAAGGAGATAGCAGAGATATGATATCCAATACCTTTCTCTTTCCTTTTTCTTCCTCCTTCCTTTCTTCTCGTCCTTCTTTCCTCCTTTATTTCTTGCTTTCTCTGATATTTTCATTTTTTAAAATCCAGACTGCTTATTAACCTGGCTTTCTTATTTTAAATGGTGGAGAGTAGAATCTCCATCTCAAACATGTTTGTATCACCCCAGGGGCTGTTAGGTGTCAACAGATATTTGTTTAATTGAATTGAAACAGAAAAAAAGAAACTTGAAAAAGAAAACATAGATGCAAATCACTAGGTAAACACTAAAATCTGGGTATGGTGTACCTTAATGTGAATACTTTTGAAATTTTAGTGACAAAGTTGCAATAATTTGCAGAATATTATTTTTCGCTTTTTGTCAAAGAGGACTGTCAAGGCCGGGCGCGGCAGCTCATGACTGTAATCCCAGCACTTTGGGAGGCCGAGGCCGGCAGATCACGAGGTCAGCAGATCGAGACCATTCTGGCTAACACGGTGAAACCCTGTCTCTACTAAAAGTACAACAAATAAAAAAAATTAGCCGGGCATGGTGGTGGGCACCTGTAGTCCCAGCTACTTGGGAGGCTGAGGCAGGAGAATGGCTTGAACCCAGGAGGCGGAGCTTGCAGTGAGCCGAGGTCGCGCCACTGCAACCCAGCCTGGGCGACGAAGTGAGACTCCATTTAAAAAAAAAAAAAAAAAAAAAAAAAAAAAAAAAAAAGAGGACTGTCAAATTGAATTGACCTTTCAAGGTAATTTTTTCAAACTTTCAAACTTAGGAGAGAAAGAGAACACAAAACAAAAATGAAAACGTTTCCTAACTCCTTCTCTTGAGATGTTTATCACCACCTTCTGTTCATCTACAAAGCTGGTGCAGATGGAATACTCTCCCTCCCTGGGGTTTCAGATCACAGGAAGAAGACATTATTATCATCCTCCTTATCACAAAAGAAAACTCTCGTTAGGATGATCTATGATAGAAACGTCCAGGGAAGATGCTGCTCTCGGTGCCCTGGTGCTTCCTGTTCCTTGACCCGATTCTTCCCAGTTCAATGGGAAAATGAACAAGAGAATCTAGAGAGAGCCAAGACTAATACTCCATTCTCTTAACCTGTATTCATGTCTATCTTAATATTTTTTCTATCTTGCTTAGTTAAAAAGAGAGAGAGACAGAGAGAGCACTCACCCCTAGCCCAGAGTCATATGTGGGGTGCTTTGTCTGAGAGTTTGAGGAAAGGCCAATGCCACCAGCTCCCTGTCTTTTGGAATGGGATCTCTGGGGTGCATTAGCACTTCAGGCGAGACCCAGGCTTCCTGAGCTGCTCTCTTTACCATGGGCCCAGCTCTGGCTGAAAGCCTTCTGAGAGCTTGTTAGACTGCAGGAAGGCGAGAATCCTTCAGCAAGCCAGTGAGATCACTGCTGCACCCACCTGGGTCTAGGCTGGAGGTCTCTACATGAGGGCTGTCATGGAAAGGCTCGATCCCAAGACACTGAGGTCACCCTGGTAAGCAGATGTGGAGAAGGGAGCCAGGCCCGGGAGGAGGAAGACTGACTTAATGGAAATGTTTAAGTTTTTCTTTGTAAGAAAAATAAAAAGCCAATCCACAAATTTACATTACATTATAATGGCCTATAAACTGGGCAGAATATATAATTATAATGAGGAATTTCAGAAAACAATGCTGCTTCTGAATATTTTAATAATATAAAATAATAATTTGGGGTTATGTTTTTGTTTTTGTTTTGTTTTGTTTTCTGGCCAGACACAGTATCTCACACCTGTATTTTCAGCATTTTGGGAGGCTGAGGCAAGAGGAACCCTTGAGGACAGAAATTTGATACTAGTCTGGGCAACACAGGGAGATCCTATCTCTATAAAATAAAATAAATACTTAAAAAATATATTTTTTTAAATTAGCAGAAAACTAAGGAACTCAATGGGCTTTCATGTCAGGGATCAGCTAAATGATTTTTATAATTTACAGAATTATGAGATGCACTTTTAAGTAATGCAAAATGATTATAAATTATATTTCTTCTGATGTGTTTACTCCTACTTTTACATTTTAGGTTAATAATCTACCTTAGCTATTTTGGAAATAGATAGGGAATAAATATTAACCTAGTAAAACAAGATAAATTATGTATTTAATTAACTTTCCACATTCTATTAATAACCTTTAAAAGTTTATATATCACATACACTGGATTTGAATGCTAAATAATAATTGTTTAGACTATTTAAGTCTAAAATTCAAAATCTTGGGGTGAGAGGGGGCTTAAAATTTGTAAAGTGAAAAACTGATATTTGAGGATTGAATTACCATGTGGTAGTCCAGGTTATTCTTGAACATCTCCACTGACAGGAAATGGTGTCTCTAATAATAGCTTATTGCATCTTTAGACTGTTTAACTGTGCTGAAATCCTTCCTTACATTGGCTGTTTCCAAGCAAGTTCCCACTAATTAATTGATAGGTCTTTATTTTGTTGATGTATATACTGACTCAGTTTATGTTTCCCGTGACAGGCTGCAGGATGCCTGGAAAAGTTTTCATCTATTATGTTGAGTCTTATGAAATTACCAATTTTTAGGTCAAAATGGCTGAATATCATCAATTTCATATGCTTCAACCCATGACTCCCTGGGCCTTCTCTTCTGCAGGTAAGACTCCCCAAGTCCTTCGACTCTTCCTCCATGGCAGGCCTTCACCATCCTTTTCAGGCTGGAGGCCACTCTGTGGAATCTTGGACAATTATTTACTGTGAAAAGATCCATTACATGGATATGAATACTAAACTAACTTCTGTGGCCTACACATTTGGAAAAAATCCAGAGGAAAAATTGGAAAAATATGAGAAGTGTAAGATGCTTAACAACAAGTTATACTGCTGTTTATTGAGGACTTATAATAATCTTTTAGATGTGATACCCCCTTTTTACAGCTAAGAAAACAAATTCCCCAGTAGGCTAAGTAGCTTGCTCCAGATAACATAACTATAAACTCTAGCATCCAGATTTGACTCGGATATTCTGGCCCCACATTCTATGCATGCCCTTTCCCCTAATAATGACTCCACGAGGCCAGATGTGGGTTGAACACTGGAAAATGTCAAGCTGCAAGAAGATTACCCTGACTAACTCCCCCAGTTCTCCCAGGTATGTGTGCATTGGCTTCAACTTCCCTCAGTTAACAATTCCATACAAGCCCTTCCAATTTGACGCAGGAAGACAAAACTTAGAAAAACTTTAGAAAGATCCATCATTTATTGTCTCAGTGCCAACACTTATTGGACTCACCTACCCTTTGATATCTAAAAGTAATTAATATTTTATTCAAGTCACAATGTAAGTGCGAGGGTCCAAAAGACTGAAAAGGTGGGACCTTGTGGGCCTGTTGTCTTCAAGTCAAAGGTAATAAAATGGATATTTTTGTTTAAATTATGTTGCAAAATCTTTATGTCACTTTCACTACCTGCAACAGCGTTCTCATTTCTAACTCCTCCGAATTCCCTGTTTTTATTCTCCAGGACTGTATGTGCTTTCATCTCCATCTCTTTCCTCCTCCCCCCAAAGATGCCCACATCCCACTCTGTAGAATGTATGAATTACCACAGTGCATGGCAAGATGGGCTTTGCAGATGTGAGTTAAGTTATGGCCCTTAAAATTGAGAGACTATCCTGGATTTTCTGGGTATGCCTAACCTAATCCATGAGCCCTCACAAAGAACTGTCTCCAGCTATCTGGGAAAAGAAGAGATGGCAGAATTACGGCAGAAGGAAAAAATAATTGAAATGTGAGGACTTCACCATCATTGCTGGCTTTGAACCTGGAGGAGGAAGGCCACAAACCAAAGAACACAGGTGGCACCTGGATGCTAAAGATCACCTCCAGCTGACAGCTAGCAAGGAAACAGAGACGCAATCCTACAACCACAAGGAACTGACTTCTGCTAACCTGCAGGAACTTGGAGGCAGAATCATCCCGAGACCCCAGAAAGAAACAGTGTCCTTCTGACACCTGGATTTTAGCCTGGAAGCCCAGATGAGCCATGCTCCTCCCAGACTTCTGATTTACAGGACAGTGAGTTGCATGTTGTTTTAAGCAGCTCCGTTTGCAAATATTTGTTATGGCAGCAAAAGGAAACAAATACAGTCTTTGATATATTTGCTAAGCCTCTATTTCTAAATGTCCTCAGTTTTTGTTTTCTGTATGTGTCTGTGGATCTCTGTACAGAATTGTGATTTTGTCAGCTTCATAGCATTCATTGCTCCAGCCAGCCATTGGCAGAGGCAATGGGATGAGACACAGTGATCAAGAGCACGGGCTTCAGAGACAGTGTCACCCCAGTGCCCATCTCCAGAGCTCCATTTATGAGAAGACCAGGTGACTAGAACTAGAATCACATGATGGGACTATGGATCTGAGTGAGCGGAACATGCAGATAGGAACAAGAGCTGGCCTAGGGCCATAGTACGAAACAGGAAGTGTCTGCAAGTGCAGAACCCAACTTCTATATCCCATTTGCTGTTTTATGTACATTTTGGACCAGATCTTCCTGTGCTGGGGGCAGAGTGCAACTTAGTGGCAACAGTGTAGTGAAAGTCTGTGGATTCCAAACCTTTCTGCAGAACTCAGACATATGATGCTGAAGCCTCTGGCTGCTCTCTTATCCTTTATCCCATGACTCACAATGGATGCCTGTAGCAGGGGTTTGACAAGGTGCTGCTGGCACAATTTTATCTCCACCACTTTCTCTATGACAGATGAGGGATGCAAGAACCTTGGCAAGCGTGGCACAGAGATTCTGCAAGCTCTTCAACCTGTCAAGTAGCAAAGCAAAATCAATCACAGAAGCAACCCCTCGCTGTGGTTGGAGATTAACATCTTTACAAGATAATAAAGGCAACAAATTACATCTGCCAGCACTCAAGGCAGGAGGCTCATAAAGAAATTCTTCAATAAGCAATGAGACTCTTTGCCCTGGCCCAGTAGATTTAGAGAGACAGCTGGAACCTGGGCTGCAGGCAGTTATAGATCAACTGCAAGACCTGCATGCTTATAGAGATGGACTGCCCATGAATGCCCCGATGGTTGGCTCCAGCAGCTGGCAGGATTCTGTCATGAGGAGTCACAGAAGTGGGCAGCAGACATTTGAATCACCACAGCTACTCCCTGTCCTACCTCCTGCCCATCTGTGGTAGCCATAGTTTTACACCCTCAGATCTTCAAGAAAACCTGCCATGGGGAGCACAGCTTACTGGCAGCCTGCAAGGCAATGTCTTTGGATCTGCCATTGTGTTCCTGCTGCGGCCCTGATTCCCCAGGGCTGCTCCAGCCAAAGACTGGACACAGGGCTACCAACACCAGGCCATTTCTGTCTGATGCGAGTCTCCTGCAACAGGCACTATTTGCTTCAGTTCTTCCTATCAACCTGGGCAAGACTCTTTCAAAGCTGCATTTCAATCAGAAGCTTTCTACCTAATCCTTCCTGTCCTCTCTGCTGTCACAAGTGTCAGGTGGCATCATGGTAGGAAGTCTCTCCTCTTCTCCTGCTATTTCTTTACCTTTCACAGATACTTTTCCCAAAATCTCCTTTATATCTCTCTTGAGATGGTGTCTGCTTCTTGAAGCACCCAGAGTGTAATGCACTATCACTCCAAAATGTCCCTCAGATACTAGCCAATGTCTGATAACCATAATTTCACAAATTTCTTTCCATTCATTTATTCATCCTTTCAAAAAATATTTACTAAAACCAACTCTGTTCATAAGTGGAAGAAATATTAGAGATGAATAAGACACAATCTGTGCCTGCAAGGAGCTGAGAGTTCACTGAAGATGATGAACACATCATTAAGCAGAGTGAAAATTACTATACACCACAGTGGTAAGGGAAAATCAAACAGGAAAGAGACATTTGGGGATGAGTAATAAAGGAGGGCAATGCACTATAAAGAGAGGGATGAACATGTGGATCTTTTGTGTTACAGAACTGTGAGAACAGAATGAAAGAAAATGAGTGTTATAGAGTAATCTGCAATCTTTCTGAAGAATTAGCCTATGTTAAAATGCAAACAAGAGAGACATCCACTTAGGTCAAGATTGAGCAACAAGAATTAAATTTACCTTTCTGGCTGAACAACTACAAAACAAAAAACAAACAGAGAAAAAGATATTTGAAACAATACCTTTCAAGACACTGCCTATCAAACAGCAACCCCTGAAAGGAAACACGAGAGGTGAGCCTTGCAACTGCTTCCACCTAGAACCGTCACAGAGTTTTGGGGACATGTCCCAGGGAGTGAACCTATGCAGAGCCAAGTAGGGTTGAGATGGTGCTAGACAGAGAGAGACCAAGGTGGTTAGAGTTCCCAGGAGTGGGTATTAGGGCTTAGAGGTCTGCACAGAGAACCCTAGAGACCACAGAGGGTCATCTTTGAGTACACAAGAGAGTTCTGATAAACTCATGCAGGTATGGAAAATACTGAAGGCCACAAAAACACGGCCATTAAATCATCTGGCCATTAAACCAGAACCATTAAACCATCACATAAAAGGGTGAGAGAAAACAGTGTCTGGTACTCCTACACACAGCTAAAAGTGGTGCCTGTTCCCACTAACTAGAATGGAAAACTTAATAATTCAAAGGGAATTGGGCAGGATACTCAGACGGATCTAACCTTATGATTGAGGAATAATTGACATTATAATGAGATTTTCAAATATTAAACATCCTACTGTGTTAAGCCATTCTTTGCATTGCTATAGAGAACACCAGAGGCTGAGTACTTTATAAAGAACAGAGGTATACTTGGCTCACATTTTGGCAGGGTATAGAAGCATGACACTACCATCTGCTCGGGTTCAAGGGAGACCTCATGGAGTTTTACTCATGGCAAGAGGCAAAGCAGGAGCAGGCACATTACAAGGCAAGAGCAGGAAAAGAGAGAGAGAGAGGTAGGGGAAGTACCAGACACTTTTAAACAACCAGATCTCACAAGAACTCACTATCACAAGTACAGCACTAAGCCATGAAGGAGCTGCCCCCATGACCCAAACACCTCCTCCAGGCCTCACCTCCAACACTAGGGATTACATTTCCACATGAGATTTGGGCAGGGCAAATATCCAAACTTGATCACCTGCCTAACGAACATTAAAGATAAGTCCCAAAAGCTTCAAAGTGTTTCCAAGTAACCTAAGGAATTCCAGAACAAAGCTCAATAATATTTAAGAAAATACAAAAACGTTCAGCACCAGAAAGGTAAAATTCTCAATGCCCGACATTCAATCAAGTGTTTCCAGGAAGGAGAGAGGAAATATACATGAGTATTTAAGCCATTTTGAGAAGAAAAACTAATCAATTTAAGCCAGTTCAGAACTATCACAGATGTTAGAGTGATCAGACAAGGACATCAAAACAGTTGTAACTGCAGTCTCTGGGCAAACTAGAAAAACCATTAAACAAGTAGAAGAATGGAAAATATTTTAAAAATCAAACTGCTAAAGATAAAAATTAACATGTCTATGAAGTAAAATACAATGATGGAATTAATGGCATATGAGATATTGTAGGAAAAAAGATTTGTGAACTTGACAACATAGCAAGAGAAAATACTTAAAATGCAACAAAGAAAAAAATAATTTCAGAAATAAATAAATAGACCATCAACAAGCCGTGGATCAACTTCAAAATGACCTAATATGTGTGTATCTGGAATCTTCAAGAAAGAAGGGACAGAAAAATTATTTGAATTAATAATGGCCAAAATTTCCAAATTTGATGAAAACTGTAAGCTCACTTATTCAAAAAGATCAATGAACCTCAAGCAAAAGAAATATAAATAAATCACATCAAGAATGTTTTAAACGAATTGCTTAGAATGAGAATACAAAACTCCTAAAGGCAAAGAAAAAAATCCCACATTATATACGGAAGAACAAAGATAAAATGAGAGCAGATTTATCATCAGAAAAAAATGCAAGAAGACAGTGAAGTGATATATGTAAAATATTGAAAGAAAAGCACTGTCAATCTAAAATTATTTGGCCAACAAAAATAACTTTTAAAAGCAAATGTAAAATAAAGTCTTTCTCAGATATACAAAAGCTGAAAAAAAAAAATCATCCCTAGCCATCCCAAACTACAAGAAATACTAAAAGAAGATCTGTAGGCATGAAAAATAATAACAGGTGAGAATCTACATGTAGATTCCAAATAATGAAAGGTAAATATATAATATGTTCTTATTTAAATATCATAAATAATTAACTGTTTAAACAAAACTTTAAAAAAGAAACCTGAGCCAGGTGCAGTGGCTCACGCCTGCAATCCTAGCATTTTGGGAGGCTGAGGGGGGCGGATTGCCTGACCTCAGGAGTTCGAGACCAGCCCGGGCAACATGGTGAATCCCCGTCTCTACTAAAATACAAAAAATTAGCTGAGCATGGCAGCATGCACCTGTAGTCCCAGCTGCTCAGGAGGCTGAGGCAGGAGAATTGCTTGAACCCAGAGGTGGAGGTTGCAGTGAGCTGAGATTGCACCACTGCACTCCAGCCTGGTGACAGAGCAAGACTCCATCTCCAGAATAAATAAATAAATAAATAAATAAATAAATAAATAAATAAATAAAATAAACCTGAACAAAATACTAGCAAACCAATTCAAAATCTAGCAACATATTAAAAGGATTATACATCATGACCAAGTGAGTTTTATTACATGAATGCAAGTTTGTTCCAACATACAAAAAGTAATCAATGTATACACTATATTAACAGGATAAAGGGGAAAAAGAAACTCACAATCATCTCAATAGATGCAGAAAGAACATTTGATAATATCCAACAACCTTTCATAATAACAACACTCACAAACTAGGATTAGGAGTGAACTTCTTCAACCTAATGAAGCACATGTGTGAAAAACCCATGAAAACATCATACTTAATGGTGAAACACTGAGAACTTTCCTCTAAGATCAGGACTAAAAGTCTAATCTCTTAGGATGTCTACTCTTGCCACTTCTGTTCAATGCTGTACTAGAGTTTCCAGCATGGGCAATTAGGCAAGACAAAGAAATAAAAGGATTCCACACACACAGATTGAAAAAAATAAAATTATCACTATTTGCAGATGACATAATCTTTTCTATAGAAAACCTTAAAGGATCCACACATAGCCCCTTCATACACACACACAAAATCTATTAGAGAGAGAAAACAAGTTCAGCAAAGTTGCAAGATAAACAAATATATGAAAACCAATTTCTATATACTAGCAATAAATAATCTAAAATTAAAATTAAGAAAAAAATCATTTTAAAATAACACCCAAAATAATAAAATAGTTATGACTAAATGCAACCAAAAAAAGTGTAAGACTTGTACACTGCAAACTGCTAAACATGTTGAAAGAAACCAAAGAAAACCTAATAATATGGAGAGGCATACTAATTTCATGGACAGAAAGACATAATACTATTAAAATTGGAATATCCTCAATTTGATCTACAGATTCAGTATGTAATCCCTATCAAAATTCCAAATGTGATTTTTGCAGAGATGGAGAAATCAATTCTAAAATTCATTTTGAAACACTAGTTATCTTGAATATCCAAAACTGTCTTGAAAAAAATAACAAAGTTGGAGAACTGAGATTTCCCAATTTTGAAACATACTCCAAACCTAAAATAATTAGGACACTGTGGTACTGGCATAAGGATAGACATATAGATTAATCAAATAGATTGAGAGTACAGAATAAACCCAAACATATATGGTAAACTGATTTTTGACAAGGATGGCAAGGAAATTCAATAGGAAAAAAATAGTCTTATCAACAAATGGAGACAACACTGGACGTATCGACATGCAAAAGAATGAATTGAACCCTAAATCACACCAGATGCAAAAATCATCTCAAAATAAATCAAAGACTTAAATATGAGCTAAACTCTTAGAAGGAAACAGGTATAAAACTGTGTGACCTTAGATTAGGCAATAGCTTCTTATATACAACATAAAATGCACACACCAACAAGCAAACGAAAAAGAGAGAGATTTCCTCAAAGCTAAAAACTTTCACTTCAAAGAACACCATTAATAAAGGGAAAAGACAATCCACAGAATGGGGGAAAATAACTGTAAATCATATAGCTGATAAGAGTCTAGTATCTAGAATACATAAAGAATTCTTACAATGTAATATTTGTTTTAAAAAACAAAAACCCAGTTAAATATGGGCCACAGATTTGAATAGCCATTTCTTCAAAGAAGATATACAAATGGCCAAAAACTCATAAAAACATGTGCAGCATCATTCGTGATTAGGGAATTGCAAATCAAAATCATAATGAGATACAATTTCATACCCAGTAAGATGACTATAACAATTATTTTAATGAAAATAAAAAATGTTGGTCAGGCACAGTGGCTCATGCTGCCAGCACTTTGGGAGACTAAGTCAGGCGGATCTCTTGAGGTCAAGTGTTCGAGACCAGCCTGGCCAACATGGCAAAACCTCATCTCTACTAAAAATACAAAAATTAGCTGGGCATGGGCTGAGCTGGGTACAGTAGTCCCAGCTCAGGAGGCTGAGGCAGGAGAATTGCTTGAACCCAGGAGGTGGAGGTGGCAGGGAGCCGAGATCGCACCACTGCGCTCCAGCCTGGTGACAGAGCAAGACTCCATCTCAAAAAAAAAAAAAAAAAAAAAAAAATGTGTTGGCTGAGCATGTGGAGAAATTGGAAACTTCAAACGTTGCTGGTAGGAATATAAAATGGTGCAGTCACAGTCAC